>NT_187556.1:0-300000 GCF_000001405.40 Homo sapiens | reverse complement strand
ACCTCACTGTTGCAGGCACGTACTTTGAATAGCTGCTTCCTGGTCTAGAGGGAGCTTGATTATCTTGACACCCAGTAGAATGCCATGTTGGAGCATATTAATTTTACCATGTCATCAGGAAGAAACTAACAACCTGATGCCTTAGGAAGACAAACACATGACCAAGGAAGGGAGACAAACCATGTGAAAGTTCATAGACTTGTGATCATATGAAGTTTCTAGTGTGACAATGCTGTGAAAATGGCAGAATATTCCTTTTCAAATTAGAAACAAGTTGTCTCACTTTGCACAGTCCACAAAAGAAAGAGCTCTAGCATTCAGTATGTCTCATTGAAACTGGGACGCGACAAATTCCATATTTGGATATACTACTCTGGCCCAACCACCAGGTAACCTATACAGCTACCTGTTCCAAGGGATATTTAGAGCAAGGTGGGGTTATGCAGCAGGTCCAGGCTTCTGTGCAAGCTGACCCATCACTTAGACCTGTGACCCAGCAAAGTGAATTGTACTTGAAGTATTTGTGGCAGAAAGGGATAAAATCTGTTGCCAGCAACAATGACATCACCAGACCGCTGAGGTTTTAGAGTAAGGCTAATTCCTCTTCTTCAAACTACTATCCTCCATTGGTAAGGCTGCTTTTAGTTTGTTTCTTGGCCCTGGTGGAAAAGAAGCAGATGATGGTGGTATGGAACACCAGCGATATAGGTATGGAGCTACCATTAAGAACTGAGTGCTATCTGACCCATAGAATTACGAAGTGGGATGTGTGCAGCCGTTTTTCGTGATTAAATGTAACTTATACATATGAATATAAGACTGAATTTGAAAATGTGAAGAAACCACAAGTATATTTCAGGAGTGGTGGCTCAGAATCCTCTAGCATCTGCTCCTGCTCTTCACCTCCTCTTCCTGAACTCACATCTATGATACCATTGAGATGATAAAACAATTGTAGTTTTGTTAGTTAGGTACAAGACCCTTCTTGTTTTGCAGGGTCTAGACAAAGGGTTGGCAAACAACTGCCTATGGGCCAAATCTAACCTGCCACCTGTTTGTCCTGATCACAAATTAATAATTTTTACATTTTAAAATGGTTTAGCGGGGCCAGGCGCAGTGGCTCATACCTGTAATCCCAGTACTTTGGGAGGCCAAAGTGGGTGGATTGTCTGAGGTCAGGAGTTCAAGACCAGTCTGGCCAACATGGTGAAACCCCGTCTCTACTAAAAACACAAAAAATTAGCCGGACATGGTTGCAGGCACTTGTAATCCCAGCTACTCGGGAGGCTGAGACAGGAGAATTGCTTGAACCTGGGAGGTGGAGGTTGCAGTGAGCCGAGATCATGCCACTGCACTCCAGCCTGGGCAACAGAGAAAGGCCTCAGCTCAAAAAAAAAAAGAAAGAAAAAAAAAAGGTTTTGGGGAAGAATCAAATGAAAACTAGGAGTTTGTAATGTGTAATCATTATCCAAAACTCAAATGTTAGTGTGGGTGCAATCTATACTACAATAGCTAAAGCCTAAAATATTGACTATCTGGCTTTTTATAGAAATGTTTGTCAAACTTGTTCTAGAAGCTGCCGAACTACATTGCCTAAAATGCTTACCAGCAGATTAGATTCTGGTAATGAGAGAGGTTTGCAAGAGATTTAGAAGGAAGAAAAGAAGCAGAAGGTAGTAATCTCCTACGGCGTGTAAGAGAACTGCATGGGCTTTGGCAGATGGCTCATAGGAGGTTTTGCCAGCAGCTTTTAGGCCTTAGCTTACAAATTCACCACAGAGGCTCAGCCCAGATCACAAATGACTCCTGCACTTTATGGGCTCCTGAATTCTGATGTCAGTTTCCTCCCAGGCTTTGCTCTTCCTCCCTTCCAAAGTCTTGTGTAAGTCTTACATTCCTATATTTAGTCCCTTCCTCCTCGACATACCTAAAGTGGGGTATGTCTTTTTTTTTTTTTTTTTCAGTTGGAGTCTTGCTCTGTTGCCAGGCTAGAGTGCAGTGGTGCTATCTCGGCTCACTGCAACCTCCACTTCCTGGGTTCAAGCGATTCCCCTGCCTCAGCCTCCTGAGTAGCTGAGACTAGTGGCGCACGTCACCACACCCAGTTAATTTTTTGTATTTTAGTAGAGATGGGGTTTCACCATGTTGGCCAGGATGGACTCGATCTGCTAACCTCGTGATCCACCCGCCTCGGCCTCCCAAAGTGCTGGGATTCCAGGTGTGAGCCACCACGCCTGGCCTAAAGTGGGTATGTCTTATTTATTTATTTATTTATTTTTGAGATATGGTCTCACTCTGTTGTCCAGGCTGGAGTGCAGTGGCATGAACATGGCTCACTGCAGCATCGACCTCCTGTGCTCAAACAATCCTCCCACCTCAGCCTCCTGAGTAGCTGGGACCACAGGTGCAGGCCACCATGCCCCACTAATTTTTTGTATTATTTGTAGAGATGGGGTTTCGCTGTGTTGCCCAGGTTGGTCTCACACTCCTGGGTTCAAGCGATCCACCTGCCTCGGCCTCCTAAAGTGCTAGGATTACAGATGTGAGTCACCATGCTTGTCATAAAGTGCCTATTTCTGATTTTCTACCCAAACCTTGACTAAGTTAATAAGAAAAGCACTAAATAAGAAATACAGGGTAACTAGAACATAGCTACAGCTATAAGCAGAATTATGGGTTCTGTGAGAGCACGTAATGGAATTCTTACCTATTCTGGGAAATAGGGTAAAGTTTCCCTGAGGAAGTGAAAACTGATATTAGATCTGAAAGAATATGAGGAAGCTCTTGCAAAAGACTAGAGCTTCCAGGACAGAGGCAATGTAAGAAGTATGAGGAAAGGTATCCAAATAACCCTTTGGCAGGAAGAACGTCGGTGCTACAAAGAGAAAAATGTGAATGGGACTGAAACTCAGAAAGCAATGTGCCAGAGAAAGCTGGAGTTGGACAGAGAAGCTGTCCCATACAGGACCTTCCAAGCTGTGGGAGGGATTATGGTCTTTCTCCCATAAGCGATTGGGGGCCCACCACTCTGTTTTTCTCTCTGTTGGTCATACAAAACTTCATCACAGATGTTATAAGAGATGGGGCTTGACTAATAGGTGGAAGAGCCATGAGAGAGGAGAGTACTACAAAAAATGGACGAGATATAAATTGTATACCAATCAGTTTAGCAGGATCAGAGTGGAGATTCATTTAAAGACAAAGCACAAAGGACCTAACATTGACAGGAGTTTGGACTTTATTTTGTTAATGAAAAGTTATCCAGGCAACCAAAAAGGACACTTTTCTGGAGACTTTTTTCTGTGGTAGAACTTAAACTGAAACATCAAACTTGAATTAAGACTGAGAAATACTGTTGGTGTTTGTTAATGATTGTGTTTTGTGGTTCTTGAAGTGAGACAAAGGCTTAAAAGTACAGGAAATTGGTGGCTTTGGTAAAGTAAAAACTGAATTGTTTCATATTAAAAGAGGCCATTGCAAGGTTTGTCTTTATGCTATTGCTGTAGCAATAGAGGAACTAGATCATGGCACTTTTGAAGAGTAGATGAGAAAATGCCAGGTCTCCTCAGCTGTGCCTGCAGGTACCCAGGTCTGGCAATCTTAGGAAAAAGGCAAAGGAAAGAGGGTTCAGTGGAATTTGACACCAGGCCTTCAGGAGACATGAAAGAATCATTTAAACATGAGTTTAAAAGTACTATTTATTGTCCGAGAAAGAATAACATCACGTATACATTTATAATGGCTAGGTAAGAAAAAAAGGAAGTATTATTCTAGCAGAGTTGGCAAATGTTGCAGGTTAGCTTCCCCAAAAAGAGACCCGGAAATGGAGATTAGCATGCAGGCAGTGTGTTGGGTAGTGTTCCTGAGAACTACACACATGCCAGTTGAGGGAAGCAGGATTGAGCAGAAGGAGTTTAACCACCAGGCAGTTCTAACAAGTCTCGGGTGCCTCTTCAGGGTTGCCTCCATTGAGGCAGAGGCCAGGCCTTTGTATCGCTCCATGAACCGGTCATTGGCTGCAGCCTACCCAGAGGCAAAGGACAGAACCTTAAATGAGGAAGCTTCCACCAACCATGGGTGATATCTGGAGGGGCATTCAGCTAAGTGCTGTCAGTAGTCAACAATTCTGGCAGCTGGATGATGGGTGCATGGCCTTAAAGAAAGTTGTGTGTCTAACGCTATAGCGTTCACTACAGTTCACTCCTGTGTGTCTCTGGATCTTTTACTTCATATAATGTAGTGAATTCACCCTGTCTGGAGGCAGCTCCTACAAGATTATGGTTGGTCTCTACCACCAGGGAAACATACAAGAGGAAGATTAACAGTACAAACTACAAACTCCGGTGCTGTGGCTAATTTCAAGGATATTTATCATTTTAAGTTTGCTTCACCCTTAACTAGCTCCTCTGCTTGTCTTGATGGCTCACGTGGTTGAGTGATGCAGACCTTCGTCCAAGAGGAGTGAGAGCTCCTAATCCCCATGTATTTCTCAAGCACAGCTGCTATACTTGACTATTACCTGTTAATAGTGGACACCAACAGATACGCCAGTGCATCACTTTGATGCCAAATGAATCCTTCCCTGCCCACATTGTATACCATCAGCCTTGTCTCCCCCTGAAGATCAGGATCAATTATACCTGCAAGGATGTTGACATTGTTCTTTTCCCACCAAGCTCTAGGTATAAAGAGACTAAGGTAACCAGAGGTCAACTTTGACTTAATGTTTAATGGGACTCTCACTTTGTCCTTTGGTGGGAGGGAGTGTTCCTAAATCTCTAAAGCTAAAAGAGCCTAGAGTTAAAGGTACAGAATACAAACTTCCAAGTAAGTCACTCAGCTTGATGATCATTGAGGCCACTCTTACTTTCACCCCTTGGTTCCTGTTGCAATGTATTTACATATGGGGAGCACAACACAATATAATGAATATCAATGTGTTAAGTGTCTCATCATGAAAGATAGTGCCCTATTATCCAAGTTGGTGCCTCATCTTTACATCCAAACTGGTGCTGCATCTGTACTTTTAATAAGCTACTCTATCACTCCATCATCTGATGGTTTCTGGGTAGTATAGAAAGTAAGAGGACAAGTGAATCCCGTGACCATGAGCTTGCTGATGAACTTCCTTTGCTTTAAAATAGTTCCTTTGGTTTTATTTACTGTTACATGGGATCTGTATTGGTGGATCAAAACTCTATAAACCTTTGGAGAATGGTACTGGTTAAAGCCCTTCAAGCAGAAAAGGTAACCCATACCCAGAATAACTGTTGATTCCAATCAACATAAATCACTGGTTATTCTAGCATAGATGAAATCCAATGTACTGAACTTGCAACCACCTGTCAGTGGCTGTCACCCCAGCCATTTGGCAGTGGCTAAGAACAGAAGCTGTGTAAACATCGATTAGCTGTATAATTCTGTCCACTCGGTTTCGGTGGATATTCTCTAGTTTTAATATGCAATATGCTTTCTCTGATAATTCTACCCACATATATCTTCCCCAAATCTCCTTGTCTGCAATCTTACAATTTTTTTTTTCATTCCAGGGCCCCAAGCAAAGATCCAAGCCACTGGTCATTATCCATGAATCCATGCATATATGTCTACTTATATTTTCCTGCAAAGTGCATGACCAGAGGCACTGCCCAAAACTTTACTGAGTGCTATAATTTCTTCTTCTAGCCACTGTCTTTCAAGGCCACCACTAAGTGGGCCTGCAGTAGAATAGCAGTCTATTGTCAACGTGCACCCATGTGCTGAACTAACCAATTTATGAACTTTGCATGGCCCTCTGCCTCCTGTGTCAGCTGGCCATAAAAGACTTCTCTCATTTACTATAGCTGTTTGATGAGAGAAGGGTACTGGTGCAGCAGTAGTGGATGGCACAGACTTCTGAACTATTCGATTGTGCAGTTGACTTCACTACTGTTGCTTGCTCCAAGTGATACCAATTCCATTTTACAATGGATTGATTACTGCTAGGTCTGATTGACCCTATGACTTGGTGGGTCTGAGATAACCCAACTCAAGGTGGGTAGTTCTGTCACTGTGCATCCAGGTTCAGATGCTCCATTTCTACCAGGACCCAGTCAAAAACCAACATCTATTTTTAGAATGATGCTCAATCATCTAAACATCAGACAATATGGAGATGTTTAGAACCCATACTGTTGCTCCAGAACCCATACTGTTACTCTTCTATTTGGTGGTACCCTAAATGCCATATGGCATCTTTCCCAACACAGATAACTTTAACATAAGAAGGTCTGCCAGATCGAAGGGCCCAAGCAGCAGGAATGCTTGTATGCACGGCAGCTCGGAACTGTTGCAGTGCCCTTTCCTGCTCTGGACCCCGTTTAAAGTCAGTAACCTTCCTTATCAGTAAATGGGATGATATAGTTTTCCCAAGTATGGCATATATACTGCCTCCAGAATTGGGAGAGTTCTGCTAGGCATTACACATCCTTCTACTTTAGCGGCTCAAAATGCAATTCTTAGTTCTCTAATTTGGACAGTTCTTTGTTCTTTATATTTGTATGTCTCAGTCTGACCCACCGCTACACTCTTTTTTTTTCCTTCAAAATGATGGTCATGACAGGATTCCAACCAGTCCCTGTCTCTTTTTTTTTTTTTTTTATGAGACAGAGTCTGGCTCCGTTGCCAGGCTGGAGTGCCGTGGTGCAGTCTTGGCTCACTGCAACCTCCACCTCCCCAGTTCAAGTGATTCTCCTGCCTCAGCCTCCCAAGTAGCTGGGAATACAGGCATCTGCCACCACGCCTAGCTAATTTTTGTATTTTTAGTAGAGACAGGGTTTCACCATGTTGGCCAGGATGGTCTCGATCTCTTGACCTCGTGATCCACCCTCCTTGGCCTCTCAAATTGCTGGGATTACAGGTGGGAGCCACTGCACCCGGCCTGCCTCTTAAACTCTTAAAATCTTTACTGATGTGGCATGTCACTGATTCTTTGTAGAGTTTCTCTGCTGCCATCAGAAGTGATTGTTTCTTACCAAAGCCTACGATGTATTTGCCATTTCTTGTTCATCAGGTCTAATTAGCAGTTTTTCATTGAATTGAAAGAATTCTTTTTTTTTTTGGAAATGTCCAAATGTGCAGGTTGCTTCCAGCTATATTACAACAGAGTGTCAGAAATACTGCAGCTCCAGGGCAAGATCACAAATAGATGCTATTGCTTATCTCATGTGAATGTGAACTACTTTAGGTCCTCTTCCCTGATAGAAATGAAAATAACAAATTTGCTAGGTCAATGGCTATATACCATGTTCCCAAGTCCATGTTAATTTGTGCTAGTAAAGATAATATATCTGAAATGCCAATTTTAATTGGAGTTGCTGCTTAATTGAGTTTGCAGTAACCACCGTTACCAAGAGGATGTATCTGGTTTCTCTAGGTGCCAGATTGGTAAATGAAATGGAGATATGTTAAGGTGCATTTTCTAGGTGTCTAAAGGTAACATTACTGTATGCCATTTCCCCAAATTGCAATTTTAAACATTTTAATGAGATATAATTAACATATCATACTATTCACCTATTTAAACTGCATAACTCAATGTGTTTTAGTACACTCATTGAGTTGGGCAATATTAGTCTTGACTTACTCTCTTGTGAGGAAGTTTCAGAGAAATCCCCTTGATTTCCCCCCACTACACATAGTTCTCATCTCACAGATCAAGAAACCAATGTGGAGCTTTTCCAGCCACCAAGATATCCATTGAATCGGACATTTGGAGACTAGAGAAATGACTACAGGATGTGTCCATGGAATAAGTGATCTCACTGTGAGTTGGATCTGGGACAGGACTACACTTAACATCTTACTCCCATACCCATCACTCTAATGAGGGTAGGGAATGTGGATACTTCCTACAGTCCTCTAATATTTTGAGTATTCTCGTTTTTCTGATGTACAGGTACTTGAGCAAATGGTAGTGGTTCCTTTTGGAGAGGGACCGGGGAAACTATTATCTGTATACCTGCCATGGTGCTGCAGGTTCCTTTCTCATGGTCAATCAGCCTCTCCTTCAGTCAGTGATTTCAGATCTAAGAACTAGCTTAGGTCTGGAAACTGAGTAGAGAATTGTGACTTGTTTTCAGGGTAGACTATGAACTCTAACATGGTATTTTTTAGCTCTTTAATTCTTTCCTTCACCATTCATTCTGGCAGTTTCCACTTCACTTAGTATGAGTCATCACTTTTTCCAAGCATCCTAGGGCCAGTCTAGCAGTATAAGAGTACCATCTTCCAGGGTTCCTGCCAGTGTATTAAATCTTATGTCGGAGAGTGATCCCATATGATAAACATGTCCTTGCCTAGTTTCGCATTCCATCCCTCTTGTTATAGTGCTCTCAAGATTCAGGTTCATATGTAATCTCCCAACTACAACCCATACATGTTGCCTAGGTCCTTTGATAGCTTTGGTATATAATGACTTTCTTCCCTTAGAAGGCCCTGCACTTTCCTGGCCTGGTTATGGCTAGGGATTATGGATTGGGTTATAACCCAATCCCAGTTATTTTTCTAGCAGTCAGTAGAGAAAGTGGTGCTATATCTTGAGTAGAGAAACTGGTGTCTTTCAATCAAAAATCTATACATTGTCTTCAAAATAAGGGGAGAGTGATGGTTATTAAGGGTGAGAAGTGAGACATTTCTGCAGTCTTTGGGTTCCGAGGATTATTGAAATTCAGGATCTTTTAGTACATTGTCCCAGGAGTTCCCATTCCAAGTTTCAGGGTCCCCCCGTTTCTCAATCAGTGCTTTGACCTTGGCATATCAGACCTGACAGGGTTGAGAATGCAACCTACTCTGGAGCAGGTTCTCTTATAATTAATTACTGGGTCTCATGCTCAGCCTTTTGTACTCTGTAGCTGATGGAAATGAGAGCCTCTATGTGATGTCAAGGAAACTCTTGGGCTTTACCATTTTACCTTATGTTGGTGATTAATCACCTTCATCTTTCCACTGTCTTTTTCCAATATGTCATGTGTCTCATCAGTAACTATCTGATCCTATCATTCTTATAATTATTATTTTCCCCAAGTATCTAAAAATCTTAATATATTACACCTGCCAGTGAATTACATTTCATAAGTATCTCATCCCCATTCATCACTGGTATAAGTTTTACTCATACTGCAAACATGTGCCAGGGGCTGTGAGTGCTTCATCTACCTCCAATGATGGTGTCCTTATTACCATACGACCCACAGCGAATCTAGCTCTAAAATCACATTTATGGGGTTTGCTTCCTATGGACATTCCCAGAACCAACTCTCTTATGTTGGATTCCCCAGAAAACAGACTCCAGGACTCTGGGATTTAGGTGCAGATTTATTTACAGGGCATTTACTAGAGACCAACACAAGTAAGGGATGAGGGAGGCAAGATTGGGCAGAAGATAAAATTGAACTGCAATGAATTGCACCAGAGGCTTCAACTGATCCTGTGGAGATTCCTGTAACTGGGATAGCCCTTCATGATTGTCTCTATTGAGTCAGGGGATCAAGATCTTTGTACCACAACTCTGACTACTCATTAAATTCAAGCAGCCTTCAAGGAAATGTCTTAATCTTGACTGAGGCAACTTCTTTCAACCAACAACAATTCCTAGAGATACACTCAACTGGAAGCCATTGGCAGTAACACTCCTGGCAGCTTAGGGAGCTAATGCATTAGTTCTGAACACTAAACATTTATATCAACTAGTGTGTTACTAAAGTAATAATCAAAAACATGACACAATATATATTCAAGCTTTTGGATAAGAAAAATATGCGGAAATATGTATTATTGTAAAATTGGTATTACAAGAAGTAAGTGTAAAGATAAAAGAACAGACACACCAAATCTTTGGGGCCAGTCCAACTTTAATGATTAATATTTTCCCTCCAGCTAAATTTGACTTTAAAGGAATCCCTGCCCACCATACTGTGTTTGAAAACCCAGAAGAGACAGGCATTGAGAATTTTATAATAATGTTATAATCAACTTTGGGCAGAGGAAATTTTTCAAAACTGACACCTCTGGCATTAGGAGTCTTGGGCTCTTAAGGAAACACAAGGGAGTAACTCTCTTATAATTTCATCTCAACTTTTGAAGAATTTGGGCTAGTTTTGTTTTGCCACTTAAGACGTCTCATTTACATAAATATAAGAGGAACCATAGACTAAATCCTGTCTGCCACCTACTAGCTGATAACAATTTTCTTAATCTCTTCATGCCTCAGTTTCCTCTTCTGTAAAATAGGAATAATAATGAACCTACCTCATGAGTTTGTTGTGAGAATTAAAAAGTAAAACACAGTACTTTTTTACTAGACTGGCATAGCTCAGTCAATGATGGTCATTATTTCGCATTTATGGAGATGTTTTACTGTACCTTCATATACAGTCTTGGTAATCTTATGGTCTCTTAGCAGATACATATGATATTAACTGTGTCTTCTCTGTTAAGTTGTTCTTTGCTGTATATTTCAGATTTCACATATAACTATTGAAGCAGATGCAACATTGAGATTAAGTGTGGAGTCTGTGTCCAAAATAGTTCATTTGTGCCAGGACTGACACCAGAAATCTAGATCCTTGGTATCAAGCTAGAAAACTGGACTTCCCAGCTCAGATTTTGCAATATCTTAGTGTTTTTAAAGATCATGAGGATTATTTTATATTCCTTTGTAATTATTTATTTTATAATGCATTTAAGTCTATATAGTATGAGCATCATCATTATAACTTGTTTATAGAGTAATTTAATCTTAGGGTAAAAGTGAGAAAAATTTTTCCGCCTGCTTTTAACACGTTTGTTTTGATCTTGCCTTCTTCATCCCTTCATTATGTAATATCTGGAACAGACAGATAGCTTAGATTTCTGATAACTTTCAATTAAAAGAAATTCTAAAAAGAGCTCTATACCTTTCAGAAAAGACTACAACAAATTGATTTAAATATTAAACTAGTTAAAAGCAACTGTCTTCTCTATCCCACCTCATGCTGACTGTGGGGTTTGTGGCCTTGCATTTGGTGGAGGGTCCATTCATTTATCCTCCCTCCTTCCTACCTGACTTAAAAGAAATCTGAAGCAGCATAATAGAGAGAAGAGATTAGAAACAAGATTGTAAATGTTTTATTTATTTTTACTTCATTGGTCTTGCTATTTTGTTTTCCCTTGGCTACCAACAGCCGATAGGCTGTCAATGCGTGCTTTGGGGCAGACATCCAAATGCCAGCTTGTATCACATTTAGATCCTTGGAGGACTTGTGGGGACTTCTGCACAGCACGGATTTCTGATATTGATGATGTCTTCTCTGGCTGACTTCTGGTCATGCCTAACTCAGATCCAGCCCCTGGGAGTTTTTCCCATGGTCTCTACCTGCTGACCTTCCATTGACCCAGCAGTCCACCTTAATAAACAGAGGCCTTCAAAATGGATTAATCCTGGCTCTGTCATGGCAAATTGTTGAAAGTGGTAGCCAAGTATGGCTCCCTGTCTTCAAGTTCTGCCATCAGGGGCCGCTTCAGCTATCAGTTTAACTCTAGCATTATGCAGTGGGAGGCAGATATCTCATTCTACGGTCATGCATGCTCCCAAACTTCAGAGGACACCAGTGAAGCTACTGAGAATTCTCTCACAGCACTTCATCTTGGTGCAGTGAGCTAGAGCTTGTCTGTGAGTTTCTGAAGCTCAGCAAGTATAGGAGAAAGATGGGTCTTCTCTGGATTGTTCTCTTGGGCAGCATAATCCTTGGAAGGGGGTTGGGGGAAGGAATAGGGAAGATGAGAAAAGGCAAAAGCCACAGTCCTCTTTACCAATCTACTAATCACTACCTGAAAAGACAACATAGCTCTTTACTTTCCAAATTCCTAGTCTTCCCTTTATATACTTTGGATGCAGGTATTTTTCTGATGATGGTGATATGGTTTGGCTGTGTCCCCACCTAAATCTCATCTTGAATTCCCACTTGTTAAGGGAGGGGCCAGGTGGGAGGTAATTGAATCATGGGGTCAAGTGTTTTCCATGCTGTTCTTGTGATAGTGATGAGTCTCACGAGATCTGATAGTTTTAAAAAGGGGAGTTTCCCTCCACAAGCTCTCTCTCTTTGCCTGTTTCCATCCATGTAAGATGTGACTTTTGCTCCTCCTTGGCTTCCACCGTGATCATGAGGCCTCCCCAGCCACATGGAACTGTAAGTCCACTAACCCTCTTTCTTTTGTAAATTTCCCAGTCTAGGGTATGTCTTTATCAGCAGTGTGGAAACGGACTAATAAAGATGGTAAGACTGATATACCTTCCAAAAAGTTTTACAGAGATGTGTATATTGGCCCTGCTTTAGAATGAGTGGGTTCCTACCATTTATAGTTTATAACTTTGATAATTGTATTGGTAATTTAGCCAAAATTATGTAAAATCAAGAAAGGTCCAGTTTATCTGTGGAGGACATTGGCTAATTTAACCTTTTTCTTTAATCTTCTCATTTTTTAAAAAAGGAACAGCAGTAGTACCTATGGTTGTTGTGAAGCTTAAACGAAGTAATCCATGCAAAACCCATAGCTGTTTAGCACAGTTTTTACAACATAGTAAGAATTCAATCAGTGTTAGCTACCATTATATAATATGGTACATTTATTTAACCAAACATAACTTTTGATAAATATACATATATATTAATTCATCTAGTTAACATAGATTTACAAAACACTTAACTGTTGTAACAACTTTGGGAGGAGTAATGAATTTAAAGAGATAGTTCCTTGAAGCTTATATTTTAGAGGAGAGAGTCAACTAGTAAACCATAATGTAAGAATATAATATATCAGACAAAGACACATGCTATGGAGAAAAATAAAGCAGGGAGGGTAGGTCAAAAGTTTGGAGATGTGCTGCTATTTTAAGTGATGGAAGAACTCACTGATGAGGTGACATTTGAGCAGAGATGGGAGGTAGAGAATATTATTCAGCGTGTCAGCAGAAAATGTGTTCATTAAATTCAGTAGTACAGCCTTCAAAAGTTAAGTACTATTTGTAACTCAAACAGGTAACTAAGCCTTATACTGAATGAAGAAAAATTATCTTAAGTTGGGTAAATTAATTCAGTTTTTCAGATGGTTTATACTATATACATAAGTTAACACATAACATAACAATACATAACATAATTTTCTTGCTTCTTAGCATGCTTTGTGATATTTTGTTGAAAGTCAAATATGAAGTAATAGAAACTGAGGGAAATAGGACTTTAATGTGAGGCTCTCTGTTAATCTGGCTAGGAGTCGAGCTGTGTTTAATGTTTGCTATAGTTGTAGGTGCCACACCTTTAGATTCCTCCCGTGTCCTTGTTTTTATATTTCTATTGTTTCTGAGCCTCCCTAAGAACGCTTCCTTAGATAGGAGCCGCACATTGCAGCTCTTTGTTCTGTAATCTCTTGTGATCATACTGAAGTTCTGTTGGTGTGGCAGTAAGGTGTGAGCGAGGGGAGGTGGACTATAATCTTATGATTAAATCTCAGTTTTTCAGACTGTGTCCCTGGGCTTTGACCTTCACAAATGTTTCCTGGCTTTCTTCTTTTCCACTGATGTGGAACAAGAAGACTAGAAGGAGCTAAAGTCAGATAAATTCCCTTCCTCTTAACTGGGATAAGGCTCTGGGAAAGTCTTTCCCCTTGGTGGGGAGTATGTCTTTGTTAAAAAGAATACCCTAAGTGTATTTCTAATGGTTACATTTCTTCCTCCCCATATCAGAACCAGGATGGGATATTTTTTGGCTCTTCACTGTAGAAACCCGATAAGGTTTCTGGAGGTAAAACCCATTAAACTACAGGGGCAAGATCTTAGTTGTAAAGTAATTATTAATTAAAGTATAGTTTACATACAGATATTTAGAAATCATAAATGTATAGGTCAATAAATTTTCATGAAGAGAGAAAAAAAAAAAAAAAAAAACATGTAACGAGCAACCTGATGAAAAAGTAGAATGTTGGTAAAAATCCCAGAACTTCATTCATGAGCACTTCTAGTCATTACCCTCTCCAAGGTAACTATTATCCTAATTTCTAACAGCATAGCTTACTTTTGCCTGTTTTGAGCTTTATATAAATAAAATCAAATAAGAGAAATTCCTTTTTTGTTGGCTACTTTCAATCAACATAATTTTGGTGAAGGTAAGCTGTGCTATTGCATCTTGAAGTAGTTCATTCCTCCTCATTACTGCATAGGATTTCATTGGATAAATATAATGTAATTTGTCCATTCTATTGTGATGAACATTTGGACCATTTCTTGTTTTTTGTCTATTAAGAATAGTATTGCTCAAAAAATTAGCAGGGCGTGGTGGCAGGCCCTTGTAGTCCCAGCTACTCGGGAAGCTGAGGCAGGAGAATGGCATGAACCCAGGAGGCGGAGCTTGCAGTGAGCCGAGAGCACGCCACTGCACTCCAGCCTGGGCGACAGAGCGAGACTCCATCTCAAAAAAAAAAAAAATAATAATAATATTGCTATGCACTAGAGTACATGTCTTTTCATAAGCATATGTAGTCGTTTCTGCTAAAGGTTACGCTGAGTATATACCTAGGTGTGGAATATACATGTTTGCCATTAGTAAATAATGAGGGCCAAACAGATTTGCAAAGTGGCTGTAATACTTCAAACACCCCTGAGCAGCATATGAATTTTAATCACCCTGCGCACTCAACAATACTTGGTATTGTGTCTTTTTCAGTTTAGCCATTGTGGTGTGGAAAAAGCAGTCAATACAATTAAAAACTTATCTGTTTTTAAGAAGAAAATAAACAGCTGTAAATGTGCTTTAACCAGGAGGCTATGGGGTTAAAAACAAAAAACAAAAAACAAAAAAACCAAAACCCAAAAAACATGAGAGTTAGTTGCCTTAGGATCACAACACTCACAGAAATAGTGAGTCAGCAAAATGAAATCTGTTAATTATAAGTGTTAGTTCTGGGCAGTCCTGAACTCCAAATTTTGTCTCTCTAGCACTTTCATCTTTTCAAAAGTGTTTTAGGTTCTCTGCCTCCTCCCAGTTGGCCTCTCGTTGTGCTCTAAAATTTGGCAAATGCCCTGAAGGAAATATCTGTTTTCCTTCTTTTCAGTATCTCAGATCCTCAAGTTCTATGTGTCTTAGTAATTCTCCAGAGCCTTCAAAAAGTATGTTACTTATTTATTTAATCCAGACGATTCTAGTTTTTCTGAGTGGAAGAACTGGTTTGCCCTAAGCTAAGCTATCACACAGCTTGTGTATGTGACAGAAGTGAACACGGAAGTCTTATTTGATGAGCTTTTATTTATTTTTTCCTAGGACAACTTACAATGGCTTTTCTGAAAGAAAGAGGTTACTATGATCTTGTTTGCTTTGTTTTTTAGAGAAAAAATTCTAGCCATAATAATCTCCAAAGATTATATTTCCTCTAAAGTAGAATCAATATAGAATTAAGGTATTCTGAGATGTGTAGATTTCCCACTCTAAATAAAGTATGATGAATTCATACTTACAGCTTTCGGTATAACCCATTCTCAGAAGAGTTAAGGACCGCACTTATAATCCACAGTATACATCAAACACTCTGAGTCCATCTACGATTTAGTAGAAAGGCAGATGGATAAATACGTTGACATTGTTTTGCCATCCACAAACATATCACTAAATGTATTTCTGAAAGTGTTGAAAAGAGAAGAGCATACTGTAATTTTATGAATTGTAACTACTGTATTTGTGTTGAGAGCTGATGGGGGAAAAGAAGAAAATAAACAGCTGTAAATGTGCTTTAACCAGGAGGCTGTGGGGTTAAAAAAAAAAAAAAAAAAAAGCAAAACCCCAAAAAACATGAGAGTTAGTTGCCTTAGGATCACAACACTCACAGAAATAGTGAGTCAGCAAAATGAAAACAAGATGACTCATCAGGAGGAAGGAAATAATGAACAGATATAGGATTTTTTTGTTTTTCTAGTTTTACATTTTTCCAAATACTTTGGAATTTAAACAAATAAAATCTACTCAAAGGGTAAAGATATCTTCTATATTTCTTTAAAAAGTCAAATATCACACATTGCTATTCTAAGTTCCTGTCTCTAACCATAATTAGCAGTTGCTGAAAATTTAAAACATGCTATGCTAAAACATAAAATAATCTATAGGATTCACAATTTAAGAAAAAAAAAGGATCTGGTACTGCAAAAGAACTTGTAGGGGTTTTGTCCTTTTTTCCTTGATCAAAATGTTACATATAGGAGACATTCATTATCAGTGGTCCATAGGAGAATTATATATTGTTCTCCTCTCTTGACCTTGGCAATACTCCTTTTTTTGCCCTTCATAAAAAAGTAACTCTGCTCCTTATGGAATAAATATTTAATGCTACTATTTATTTTTCTGTGCCTGCATCATTGGGTGAGGAGTATCTATTACACATGGGGATGTGATTAAAGCTTAATGGTCTAGCAGGTGCCTACCCTCGTCAAGAACTCTCTTTATGTGCCCAGGAATCTTTTTATGTAGCCATCCTGTGCACCCCCAGATCTCAGAGCTGGTACTAACACCCAAGTGCATATTCTGAAGTTGGGAAATGACCTGCACCCACCACACTGTCAGTTTCTGAGGCGCTCTGGCACTTTCTAGGTCACTAGGCCTGAGAATTGGTGTCAGAAACAGAGGGAAGGCTTTTCTCCTACAGCCCAGGAGAGATGGGTCTTTAAAGAGAGAAATCCCCTCCCACTTCCTCAGTGTGGAATCAGGGAAGTTCAAGGCCAAAACTGTTTTAGGCTCAAAAGGCTAAAGCATTTGTAAAATTATAATACTAAAGCACTGTCATTGCATAATATGTTGTGTACAGTGAAAAATAGGTGATAGTAACAGTGAGTATTTGAGTACCTTAGCTTGTGCAACAGACATGACATAGGAATCATTATTAACCCCATTTTACAGATGAGAAAATAGGGACACAGAGATGCTAAGTAAATTGTGTAAGATCATAGAAAGCAGAAGAATTGCTCATAGTAAATAATTAGCAGTGCTGATGGTCAAGTTCAGAGAGTCTGGTTGGATTAATCAATTTCCACTATTCTGATGGCTGCTAGTGCAGATATTTCCAGCATCACGAGAAGGGATAAGCCCACCCCTCCAGAGACAGTCTGTCAAAGAACTCCATGCAAAAACTGGCCAGGGCTGTGAGGGGTACAGCTCTTTAGGTGCATTTACTCTCCCGGAATGCGAGTCTGCTCTTGGTCAGCTCTTGTTCCAGTTTTTCCAATTCACAAATCAAAATCTATTTTCTTTTCTTTTCCTCCAAGCCAAACCACTGCTTCTGTTTCTTGTGGTAATTTTATTTTAGAGACTCGATTGCTCTTCCCTGTGACAAAACCTTAAGCAGGGCTTCCTTTGCCTTTTCCAAAAGGTTTTCTTATTTTATAATTTTCTCACTGAATGGAATTCAAAAGATGATGCAGTGAGCAACTAGTTGTAACATGATACTGATGATGATGACGATGGTGGTGGTGGTGATGTTGATGATGATTTCTGCTACAACAGAGTTTTGAACCAATTCATAGTATTTAACATTCCAGATATAATAGTATCAGTCTCTTCTCTCTGTTTTGAGCTGTAACTCAATAAAATAGTAGTAAACATAATTACATGGGGCTTGGATAGATGAATTTGAAGTTTATTCTGGTTGTAGAGGAAAGAAAAGTGTTAACTTCTAAGTCGCCAAAGAGCTACGCAAAGCTCTTGTTGCTTCATATTTGCTGCACACACCATGTGCTAAATGTTTTCTTGCCACACAAATCTTCCCTGCTCAAGTACTCCTAAGAACACTTGATGGCTGTTTTCATGCCATGGGCATTTTTTGGGTGCCCATATATGTTACATATAGTGTTGGGAGACACAAACATGAATAAAGCAGAGTCTACAAGGAGCACTTTTGACCTGTCTGGGTATTAGTCTGTGAGTCTATGGGTGGGAGATGTCTAATAAAGAACAAGATCCCTCCCTTAACTAAATTTCATCTAACAAATGAAGACATACATACCAAAAAGTGAGATCCCTGATTTTCAATAGTTAGCCAAAAAGCATCTAGGTTTAACAGCTAAAAGTATTTTGAGATGTAGAGTTTCCAAATAAATATATCTAGTTAAATTTGAATTTCGTATAAACAATGAACAATTTTTATTTTACTTTGTTTTATTTTGTTTTTGAGACAGAGTCTTGCTCTGTTGCTCAGGCTGGAGTGCAATGGCACGGTCTCAGCTCACTGCAACCTCCGCCTCCTGGGTTCAAGCCATTCTCCTGCCTCAGCTTCCCAAGAAACTGGGACTACAGGCATGTGCCACCATGTCCAGCTGCTTTGTATTTTTAATAGAAATGGGGTCTCACCAAGTTGGCCAGGCTGGTCTCGAACTCCTGACCTCAAGTGATCCACCTGCCTTGGCCTCCCAAAGTGCTGGGATTACAGACGTGAGCCACTGCACCCAGACAACAATTTTTTATTTTTACTTACCAAATTTGCCCACCCTAATAAGGTGAATATGTGTGCTATTTTCTGTTTATGTTAAATTGCATTGTTTTTGAAGAAGCAATGACATAGTTGAAAGAGAATGAGGTTTGGAATGAACCAGATATGAGTTAAATCTGACTTTATCAGTTATTTGCTAGGTGGCAATGGAAAAGTAATTTGACTCTCTGAAGCTCAATTTTTTTTATAGAAATGGTAATGATTACACTTGAGGGTGGTTTAAATGGCTTATTAATAATATATAAAAATGACTAGCATTGTTACCCGAACTGTATGACTTCTACTGGCCAGTGGTAATAATCATTAATAATGACTAGCATTTATTTAACACTGCATCTTATGGAGTGTAAATGTATTATCCATTTCATTCTCACTACGACTTCTTAAGTTAGATAAATATTTTATTTATTGAAGATGGGATAGGATTTGAACCCACTCATAATGTCTCCCCTCTACATACTATTTAGAAACATAGCCTACATATTATAGACCAGATAATTATAGTCATAGTCTAGATATTATAATATAAAATATATAAAGTAAAATATATATAAGTAATAAGCAGACATGAGCTAGGGCCTTGCTTTTCAGACTAATACATTGGAATAGAACTCTCTAGAAAAATTTGATAGACATAATGGCTCTTGGCACTGCCTTTGGGTCAAATTAGCATATTCTTGTTAGCTGTTTTCATCCAAATATTTATTCTCCACTCAACAGGGTTTACCTGTGAAAGTTTAATCTTTAATTTTTTCCTTTCCCTAAATGCTTAAAGTGATTGTAGTCTTCGGCTTCCATTTTATTTTTAGGACATCTACATCATAGGTAGAATGATCCCATTATTTTTCCTCATAGCCATCATAACCAGAACAAGTTTCCCTGAATTCTGATATCTTCATCAATACTTCCATCTCAGACTCTCAATTGTCCCCATCCCAGAGAAATTGCTTTTTAAAAATCACACAAATTATTTAAACCTTCTCACTGCTTCCTAGTGAGGAGTGGAGGGAAATTTGGGACATGAACAGGGGCATAATGAGAGTGTAGAAAGCACCAGGACTTTAAATGTTAAAATCAACAAAATATGCAAAATGCCTTGAGGCAATGTAATATCACTGTCTCACAGAAGGCACAAAATTACTAAGAGAAATTTAAATGATGTGCTGGAGAATGTCAACTACATTTGGAATGGAGCTTTGGATTTTTATAGGAATTGAATACACATTTCAGTCATTAAAATGAAACACTCTGAAATTGTTTCAGATTGAACTTTACATAGGCCGAGGAAGAAATTACAATTAAATATATAATGCCAAGTTTATAATTTATGAAATGAGCCATGGGGCTTTCTGAGAAAGGAAGTAAAATACTAAGTTTGTCTCCAGAACCCCTTCCATTCCTAGGGTATCAAAGTTTTGGACCACAGTTGCCCCTTTAAAATCTTATGGGGATGATGTGGAGATGATCTTCACAGGCTTCTAGAAGGCGAAGTATAACCGAAAGCAAACAGATACTAACTCTTTGCCGGGATCTGGTTTTGGGTGTTCTTTCTTATTTGCCCGGAAACAAAAATCATGATCCCTCTGCTTCACCACACCCTCACTGCTGGGGTTACCTCGAGCTTCACTTGGTTACCACATTCTGCTTTTCTACTTCTGATCTTATTGTGTTTCTCTTTTGCTGATTATACTTCCCTTCAGATAGAGGTATCTTGTTTCTAACTTAAGCTCATTTCTTTGCTTCTTTAAGTGATGATTTGAATGTGGCATTCTTGACCTTGGTTGAACCACCCAAACAGCAAGAGGGGCCTAGACCCTTTCTGGGGAGTCTCATGAGACATCCACTCATGAACTGGGCCTCTGTAGCTCCTGTTTAGAGAATTCTGTAGCTCCTGTTTAGAGATGCATAATATCTCAAAGATAAGCAAACAAACAGCAGGGTTCATCACCTCTTTTTGCTCTCCAGATAGTAAGGGCTTCAAGATTGACAAACAAGAATAACTCAGCGAACCCCATTTGCCACCTCCAAATATCTCTAGATTCTAATCTTCATGTTTTTTCATATCATGTTTAATAATACAACAGACAACAATTAGAGTTTTTCTTTAACTGTGGAAAGTGACTACTTCTTTCAGTTTAAAAAAAAGCGTAACTTAGTCATAATTATGACATTAGAATCTGGGTAAATGAGACAATGGCCTTGCTTCTGAAAAAGCTTAGTTTTTTCTATGCCTCTTCCTTTTTTTCAGTCCTGTCATTCTCTTCTCACACCTCTGAGACTCAGTATATTCATTTATCATTGCTTTGCTCTAACAGGGAGAATTAGAATATTCTATCAAAGTAATTTAACAACATAGGAATTCACATGATGCAAGAAGTACAGTGACAGGCAAGCCAGGATTGGTACAGCAACTCTATGATGTCAACAGTACTCAGTTCCTTCCATAATTGCTTTTCTTTTAAATACGTTTTTAATTTTGGAATAGTTTTAGTTTTGCAGAAAAATTGCAAAGATAGTGCAGAGGATGCTCATATACTTCACATCCAATTCCTCCTGTTGTTAATGTATTATGTTAGTATGCACATTTGTCACAACTGAAAAAAAAATTGATACATCAGTATTATTATATTGTATTTGGATTATCTTAGTTGTTTCCTAATGTCCTATTAGAGTTCCAGGATACCATATTACACTTACTTTGTCATTTTTTTTAGATGTACAAAATTTTTGATGATCTTGAAAGTTTTGAGGAGCACTGGTCCAGAATTTTATAGATTGTTCCTCAATAGTGATTTGTCTGATGTTCTTCTCATTATTAGACTGGAGTTATGGAATTTTGGGAGGAAGACTACAGAGGTAAAGTGCTATTCACATCATATCATATTCATAGTGGCAGGAGGCAGACAAATGTGTAGGCAGATGGGGCGGGTCCCCAGTGAACCTTGACCTTCAAGCTGAAGACAGTTTAAAGCCTGAAAACCAAGCCATGAGTCAAATCCACAGACCAGATTGAGAAACTCTCTTCCCATTTGGCTTGCTTTCCTCTGATTGATCTTCACCCTTCACCTATTTTACATATACCTACCTTTCCCTAATTAATTTTTTACACTGCCATGGCCACCTTTGAATGGCGCCTTTGTTTTAGCCTTTTTTGCATACTCACAAACGAATTAGCATGCACTTCCCATTCTGAGTCCATAAAAGCCCTGGCCCAGGCACAAGGAGAGTGAGACCACCCAACTTCGAGTTGGGGCCAACCCTCGTGTCCTCTCTACACTGAGAGCTGTTTTGCTGCTCAATAAAACTATTCTCCACCTTCCTCACCCTTTAATTGTTAGTGTAAACTTATTCTTCTTGGACATGGGACAAGAACTTGGGACCCATCAAATGCAGGGGGCTGAGTGTGCAGTTGCAGTGGCCACGCGATTTGCATTAGAGTGCAAGCCAGGTGCAGCCCAGTGGCCTGAGTAGACTGGGCATCTCCAGCAATGAAACTGGGCCCAAGGAGGGCCTGGGCAGAGGTTTTGTCAGCTGGAGGTCTCCAGAAGGGAAAGTGGCCAAGAAAAATCCTGCATCAATATCAGTGGTACATGCTATCCACATGACTTATCACTTTTTGATGTTGACTTTGATTACCTGATTAAGGTAGTGTTTGCTAAGCTTCTCAACTGGAAAGCTAAATTTTTCCCACCTTTCCGTACTGTACCCTTTGGAAGGAAGTCATTATGCACATGTCACATGTAAAGTGTGAGGAATTAAGGTCCATCTCCTTGAAGGGGTCAATATCCATATAAAATATTTGGAATTCTCCTGCCTGGGATATTTGTCTATTTTCCCTTATTTATTTATTTATTTATTTATTTATTCAATCATTTCTTTATCTCAGTATGGACTCATGAATATTTGGTTTTGTTTATATATATATATTTTTTATCATACTTTAAGTTCTAGGGTACATGTGCACAATGTGCAGGTTTGTTACATATGTATACATGTGCCATGTTGGTGTGCTGCACCCATTAACTCATCATTTACATTAGGTATATCTCCTAATGCTATCCCTCCCCCTCCCCCCACCCCACAACAGGCCCTGGTGTGTAATGTTCCTCTTCCTGTGTCCAAGTGTTCTCATTGTTCAATTCCCACCTATGAGTGAGAACATGTGGTGTTTGGTTTTTTGTCCTTGCGATAGTTTGCTGAGAATGATGGTTTCCAGCTTCATCCATGTCCCTACAAAGGACATGAACTCATCATTTTTTATGGCTGCATAGTATTCAATGGTGTGTATGTGCCACATTTTCTTAATCCAGTCTATCATTGTTGGACATTTGGGTTGGTTCCAACTCTTTGCTATTGTGAATAGTGCCACAATAAACATACATGTGCATGTGTCTTTATAGCAGCATGTTTTATAATCCTTTGGGTATATACCCAGTAATGGGATGGCTGGGTCAAATGGTATTTCTAGTTCTAGATCCCTGAGGAATCCCCACACTGACTTCCACAATGGTTGAACTAGTTGACAGTCCCACCAACAGTGTAAAAGTGTTCCTATTTCCCCACATCCTCTCCAACACCTGTTGTTTCCTGACTTTTTAATGATCACCATTCTAACTGGTGTGAGATGGTATCTCATTGTGGTTCTGATTTGCATTTCTCTGATGGCCAGTGATGATGGGCATTTTTTCATGTGTCTGTTGACTGCATAAATGTCTTCTTTTGAGAAGTGTCTGTTCATATCCTTTGCCCACTTTTTGATGGGATTGTTTGTTTTTTTCTTGTAAATTTGTTTGAGTTCTTTGTAGATTCTGGATATTAGCCCTTTGTCAGATGAGTAGATTGCAAAAATTTTCTCCCATTCTGTAGGTTGCCTGTTCATTCTGATGGTAGTTTCTTTTGCTGTGCAGAAGCTCTTTAGTTTAATTAGATCCCATTTGTCAATTTTGGCTTTTGTTGCCATTGCTTTTGGTGTTTTAGACATGAAGTCCTTGCCCATGCCTTTGTCCTCAATGGTGTTGCCTAGGTATTCTTCTAGGGTTTTATGGTTTTAGGTCTAAGGTTTAAGTCTTTAATCCATCTTGAATTGATTTTTGTATAAGGTGTAAGGAAGGGATCCAGTTTCAGCTTTCTACATATGGCTAGCCAGTTTTCCCAGCACCATTTATTAAATAGGGAATCCTTTCTCCATTGCTTGTTTTTGTCAGGTTTGTCAAAGATCAGATAGTTGTAGATATGCAGCATTATTTCTGAGGGCTCTATTCTGTTCCATTGATCTATATCTCTGTTTTGGTACCAGTACCATGCTGTTTTGGTTACTGTAACCTTGTAGTATAGTTTGAAGTCAGGTAGTGTGATGCCTCCAGCTTTGTTCTTTTGGCTTAGGATTGACTTGGCAATGTGGACTCTTTTTCAGTTCCATATAAACTTTAAAGTAGTTTTTTCCAATTCTGTGAAGAAAGTCATTGGTAGCTTGATGGGGATGGCATTGAATCTGTAAATTACCTTGGGCAGTATGGCCATTTTCACGATATTGATTCTTCCTACCCATGAGCATGGAATGTTCTTCCATTTGTTTGTATCCTCTTTTATTTCCTTGAGCAGTGGTTTGTAGTTCTCCTTGAAGAGGTCCTTCACATCCCTTGTAAGTTGGATTCCTAGGTATTTTATTCTCTTTGAAGCAATTGTGAATGGGAGTTCACTCATGATTTGGCTCTCTGTTTGTCTGTTGTTGGTGTATAAGAATGCTTCTGATTTTTGTACATTGATTTTGTATCCTGAGACTTTGCTGAAGTTGTTTATCAGCTTAAGGAGATTTTGGGCTGTGATAATGGGGTTTTCTAGATATACAATCATGTCATCTGCAAAGAGGGACAATTTGACTTTCTCTTTTCCTAATTGAATACCCTTTATTTCCTTCTCCTGCCTAATTGCCCTGGCCAGAACTTCCAACACTATGTTGAATAGGAGTGGTGAGAGAGGGCATCCCTGTCTTGTGCCAGTTTTCAAAGGGAATGCTTCCAGTTTTTGCCCATTCAGTATGATATTGGCTGTGGGTTTGTCATAAATAGCTCTTATTATTTTGAGATACGTCCCATCAATACCTAATTTATTGAGAGTTTTTAGCATGAAGGGCTGTTGAATTTTGTCAAAGGCCTTTTCTGCGTCTATTGAGATAATCATGTGGTTTTTGTCTTTGGTTCTGTTTATTCGCTGGATTACATTTATTGATTTGTGTATATTGAACCAGCCTTGCATCCCAGGGATGAAGCCCACTTGATCATGGTGGATAAGCTTTTTGATGTGCTGCTGGATTCGGTTTGCCAGTATCTTATTGAGGATTTTTGCATCAATGTTCATCAGGGATATTGGTCTAAAATTCTCTTTCTTTGTTGTGTCTCTGCCAGGCTTTGGTATCAGGATGATGCTGGCCTCATAAAATGAGTTAGGGAGGATTCCTTCTTTTTCTATTGATTGGAATAGTTTCAGAAGGAATGGTACCAGCTCCTCCTTGTACCTCTGGTAGAATTTGGACTTTTTCTGGTTAGTAGGCTGTTAATTATTGCCTCAGTTTCAGAGCCTGTTATTGGTCTATTCAGAGATTCAACTTCTTTCTGGTTTAGTCTTGGGAGGGTGTATGTGTCCAGGAGTTTATCCATTTCTTCTAGACTTTCTAGTTTATTTGCATAGAGGTGTTTATAGTATTCTCTGATAGTAGTTTGTATTTCCTTGGGATCGGTGGTGGTATCCCCTTTATCATTTTTTATTGCATCTATTTGATTCTTCTCTCTTTTCTTCTTTATTAGTCTTGCTAGCAGTCTATCAATTTTGTTGATCTTTTCAAAAAACCAGCTCCTGGATTCATTGATTTTTTTGAAGGGTTCTTTGTGTCTCTATCTCCTTCAGTTCTGCTCTGATCTTAGTTATTTCTTGCCTTCTGCTAGCTTTTGAATGTGTTTGCTCTTGCTTCTCTAGTTCTTTTAATTGTGATGTTAGGGTGTCAATTTTAGATCTTTCCTGCTTTCTCCTGTGGGCATTTAGTGCTATAAATTTCCCTCTACACACTGCTTTAGCTGTGTCCCAGAGATTCTGGTATGTTGTGTCTTTGTTCTCATTGGTTTCAAAGAACATCTTTCTTTCTGCCTTCATTTCGTTATGTACCCAGTAGAATGACTACTGAATGCAGGAGCAGGTTGTTCAGTTTCCATGTAGTTGAGTGGTTATGAGTGAGTTTCTTATTCCTGAGTTCTAGTTTGATTGCACTGTGGTCTGAGAGACAGTTTGTTATAATTTCTGTTCTTTTACATTTGCTGAGGAGTGCTTTACTTCCGAATATGTGGCCATTTTGGAATAAGTGCGGTGTGGTGCTGAGAAGAATGTATATTCTGTTGATTTGGGGTGGAGAGTTCTGTAGATGCCTATTAGGTCTGCTTGGTGCAGAGCTGAGTTCCATTCCTGGATATCCTTATTAACTTTCTGTCTCGTTGATCTGTGTAATATTGACAGTGGGGTGTAAAAGTCTCCTATTATTATTATGTGGGAGTCTAAGTCTCTTTGTAGGTCTCTAAGGACTTGCTTTATAAATCTGAGTGCTCCTGTATTTGGTGTATATATATTTAGGATAGTTAGCTCTTCTTGTTGAATTGATCCCTTTACCATTATGTGATGGCCTTCTTTGTCTCTTTTGATCTTTGTTGGCTTAAAGTCTGTTTTATCAGAGACTAGGATTGCAATGCCTGCCTTTTTTTGTTTTCCATTTGCTTGGTAGATCTTCCTCCATCCCTTTATTTTGAGCCTATGTGTGTCTCTGCACATGAGATGGGTTTCCTGAATACAGCACACTGATGGGTCTTGACTCTTTATCCAATTTGCCAGTCTGTTTCTTTTAATTGGAGCATTTAGTCCATTTACTTTTAAGGTTAATATTGTTATGTGTGAATTTGATCCTGTCATTATGATGTTAGCTGGTTATTTTGCTCATTAGTTGATGCAGTTTCTTCCTAGCATCAATGGTCCTTACAACTTGGCATGTTTTTGCAGTGGCTGGTACAATTTCTTCCTTTCCACTTTCCATGTTTAGTGCTTCCTTCAGGAACTCTTTTAGGGCAGGCCTGGTGGTGACAAAATCTCTCAGCATTTGCTTATCTGTAAAGGATTTTATTTCTCCTTCACTTATGAAGCTTAGTTTGGCTGGATATGAAATTCTGTGTTGAAAATTCTTTTCTTTAAGAATGTTGAATATTGGCCCCCACTCTCTTCTGGCTTGTAGAGTTTCTGCCAAGAGATCCGCTATTTGTCTGATGGGCTTTCCTTTGTGGGTAACGCAACCTTTCTCTCTGGCTGCCCTTAACATTTTTTCCTTCATTTCAACTTTGGTGAATCTGACAGTTATGTGTCTTAGAGTGGCTCTTCTCGAGGAATATCTTTGTGGCATTTTCTGTGTTTCCTGAATTTGAATGTTGGCCTGCCTAGCTATGTTGGGGAAGTTCTCCTTGATAATATCCTGCAGAGTGTTTTCCAACTTGGTTCCATTCTTCCTGTCACTTTCAGGTACACCAATCGACATAGATTTGGTCTTTTCACGTAGTCCCATATTTCTTGGAGGCTTTGTTCATTTCTTTTTATTCTTTTTTCTCTAAACTTCTCTTCTCACTTCATTTCATTCATTTGATCTTCAATCACTGATACCCTTTCTTCCAGTGGATCAAATTGACTACTGAAGCTTGTGCATTCATCATGTAGTTCTTGTGCCATTGTTTTCGGCTCCTTCAGGTCATTTAAGGACTTCTCTACATTGGTTATTCTAGTTAGCCATTTGTCTAACCTTTTTTCAAGGTTTTTTAACTTCTTTGCGATGGGTTCGAACTTCCCCCTTTAGCTCAGAGAAGTTTGATTGTCTGAAGCCTTCTTCTCTCAACTCATCAGAGTCATTCTCCGTCCAGCTTTGCTCCATTGCTGGTGAGGAGCTGTGTTCCTTTGGAGGAGGAGAGGCACTCTGATTTTTAGAATTTTCAGTTTTTCTGCTCTGTTTTTTCCCCATCTTTGTGTTTTTATCTACCTTTGGTCTTTGATGATCGTGACGTACAGATGGGGTTTTGGTGTGGATGTCCTTTTGGTTTGTTAGTTTTCCTTCTAACAGTCAGGACCCTCAGCTGCAGGTCTGTTGGAGTTTGCTGGAGGTCCACTCCAGACCCTGTTTGCCTGGGTATCAGCAGCGGAGGCCGCAGAACAGTGAATATTGCTGAACAGCAATGTTGCTGCCTGATCATTCCTCTGGAAGTTTCGTCTGAGAGGGGTACCCAGCCATGTGAGTTGTCAGTCTGCCCCTACTAGGGGGTGCCTCCCAGTTAGGCTACTCAGGGGTCAGGAACCCACTTGAGAAGGCAGTCTGTCCGTTCTCAGATCTCAAACTCCATGAAGGGAGAACCAGTACTCACTTCAAAGCTGTCTGACAGGGACGTTTAAGTCTGCAGAGGTTTCTTCTGCCTTTTGTTTGGCTATGTCCTGCCCACAGAGGTGGAGTCTACTGAGGCAGCACGCCTCCTTGAGCTGTGGTGGGGTCCACCCAGTTCAAGCTTCCTGGCCACTTTGTTTACCTACTCAAGCCTCAGCAATGGCGGGCGCCCCTTCCCCAGCCTCGTTGCCACCTTGCAGTTTGACCTCAGACTGCTGTGCTAGCAATGAGCGAGGCTCTGTGGGCGTGGGACCCTCTGAGCCATGCGCGGGATATAATCTCCTGGTGTGCTGTTTGCTAAGACCATTGGAAAAGCGCAGTATTAGGGTGGGAGTGACCCAATTTTCCAGGTGCTGTCTGTCACAGCTTTGCTTGGCTAGGAAAGGGAATTCCCTGACCCCTTGTGCTTCCTGAGTGAAGTAATGCCTTGCCCTGCTTCAGCTCATGCTCAGTGCACTGCACCCACTGTCCTGCACCCACTGTCTGATAAGCCCCAGTGAGATGAACCCGGTACCTCAGTTGGAAATGCAGAAATCACCCGTCTTCTGTGTTCCTCATGCTGGGAGCTGTATAGACTGGAGCTGTTCCTATTCGGCCATCTTGGAACTGCCCCCGGACTCATGAATATTTTGTACATAGGGTTATAATCTAATACTATGTTATTAAGTTTTTGCTCCAAATTTTTCCAGATTTCGCCAGTGAGACTCTTTCAGTTGGGTCCTATGTATTATTGACATACTTCATCAATGTTTGTGTGTGCTTTGTTTTGTTTGTTTTTTCAAATATTTCCTTTCTGGCATTACAGAATACTCCAGGCTTCTTGTACATTTCTTATCCTAGTCCTAAAAGCAACCATTTCTCCAAAGAACCCTTGTTCTTTTGGAGAATGGTGTTAGTAACCAAGATCTGAAGCCTAGATGTGCTCATTGCTACTGGGGTGTTCTTGTTTGTAGGCCTTTTCAGATGTCAGGGCAAAAAATAATATATGCATATATAGCATCCCATATGCACACACACATTTATAAATATTTTTGTGTGTATCTGCATATATTAAGCTAAACATGAGTCCATAAAGATATTACCAAATGAATCATTATACTTTCCTCCCCTTGCTTATCTCTAGCTTCCTACTCCAACATTGAGAAACCTGGTTCCTACCATCTGCCATCTATTTACTTAATTGTTCAATACCAGTATACATGTGTAACAATAACAGATTTGTTAAGCAACACCTCTATGAGAAACAACTTTACCTTCAAGAGTATAGTGCTTATATGCAGTTCCTTTTGCTTTTAGTCTTACACAATCCACTCATTTCCAAAGTTATTTAGGTCAGTACATTTTCCCCCTTCAGTGACAGTTGTTTTATACCATTATTCGTTTTTGCCATCCTTAGCATATGGGTTTGTATTTATGACTGCAGGATGGTTGTTCCATTTCCTGGTCTTACATTACTTATTCTTGTCAAGAACAAGAAGGAGTGAAAAACTAGAAGTTTTTGTCAAAGAAATTTTATCTTTAAAAAAGTTTTCTAAGAATTGCCATGCAGTATTATCCACTTACCTCACATTGTCTAGAGTTGGGTCACATGGCTACCTGCAGAGCAATCATTGAGAAATAGGCAGGAAGTAAGATTTTGTTAATAGGTTTAGGGCAGCCAATTAGCAGTGTCTGCTACAGTTACTCTAAAAGAGTGGAGGTCATGGGAATAACATTCACTCCTTCCTTCACTTAACAAATAATGTGTCTCAGCTATATGTTAGGCAATATTCTAAATGGTAGGTAGAAGAGTAAATATTCTTTCATGACACATATAATCTAATTTAGGAGGAGACCAAAAATGAAGTGAACAAATTAATAATTTCAAATTGTCATGCATACTATGAAGAAAATAAAATGCAGTAATGAAACAGTGACTGAGGTGGATGTGAGATATGAGCAGATGGCATTAAAGAGTGGTCAGAGAAAGTCTTTTTAAGAAGATACCCTTTGAATTTGGTACGAATGATAAAGAGAAGTCAACAGCAGGAGGATCTACATGAAGATATTTCCATTCCAAAGGGAAAATGAATGAAAACCCCCAAGCTAGGAAAGCACTTGGTTTGTTCAAAAAACACAAGCTAGTTGAGTAAAGCTAGATAAGCGTGAACAAGAAAGAGAGCCACATGAGATGGGGTTACAGTGTGACTCACAGCCAGATCATGTAACACCTTTAGACCATGAAAAAGAATTAAGATTTTATTTCAACTGCAAGGCAAAAACTTGGAAGGTTTTAAGCAGGAAGATAAGTGACATAACTTCCATTCTAAATGATTACTCTGTGGGCTGTATGAAGAATAGATTTTATGGAGGCAAGTATGGAAGCTGGGAGAATAGATAGGAGTTTGCCAGAGAAAAGATCATAGTTATGTGGACTAAGGAAGTAGGAGAGAAAATGAGAAGTATTAGGCTTCAGTTTATATTTTAGAAGTTGAATGGGCTGTAGTTTCTAATGCTTTGCATATGGAGTAAAAAGAAAACTTGGTTGGTAATGCTGTTGAGATAAGGAAGGCTGGGTAGTCAGGTATCTGTTGCTACCCAAAAGTGTGTCTTTCACCTACTACTTTATTATCTCACATTGTTTCTGTGGGACAGAAATTCATGAAGGGCTTGAAGGGGATGTCCTGGCTCAGGGTCTTTCATGTGGTTGCATGCAGTCAAATGGTGGCTGGAGCTAAAGCAGTTGAGACTAACTAGCTCTCTCTCTCTCTCTTTCCATAAGGACTTAGGAATTCTCCATGTGATCTCTCTGTGTGGGCTAGTTTGGACTTCCTCCCAGTATGGCAACCTTAGTATAGTCAACCTGCTTCATAGAACAGTTTAGGCTTTCAATGAACAGGATTGAAGAGGAAAACCTTGTATCACCTACACTCAGAAGTCACTCGATGTCATTTCTACATCATTCTATTGGTTTTAAGTGAGTTTGTGAGTTAGAGTTACAAGCCCACCTAGATTCACAAAAAGACAAATCAGACCTCTCCTCTTGATGGAAGGTGGTAGTACTGTATAAGAGCAAATGGAATGAAATATATCCTTGCGGTCATCTTTGAAAAGTATAGTCTGCCACAGAGCGACCTCTGACCTCTATTTACATCTCTCCTACATGCAAAATACACTCATCCTCCCTCCCAAGACCTACCAAAATTCTCATCCCATTACAGCATCATGCTTCGGCTCAAAGGTCAGGATCTCTTCATTTAAATCAGGTTCACTGGCAATTAAAGATTGTCATGTGTTTGGATTTGGTCCCTTAAATACTGCTCTCTGCCTGAAAACCTATGAGCCAAAGAGAGGTCTTCTCTTCCCCACGTAGACCCAATGTACAGTGGTGGAACCGGTGTACAAGAGCTGCAGTGGACACTCCCACTCAAAGAGGGGGCAAAAGGGAGGCACACAGCTGTCACTGATCTGTGGCAATTCTGGAATCTAGCCAGACACACAATTACAGTTCTTTGATTAGATTTTATTTCTACTTCCTGTGAGTTCTTCTTTATGTGGCTTGGTCCTCTACCTAGGCTCCTGTTTCTATCTTTGGAGTCATCTTTCCTCTTCTAATTAAAGTCTCTTGTGTTTGCTGTTGATTAGTTTTCTCTTCCTGCTTTCTGCCTTTAGAAGTTTCAGAATCCAATGGCCTCTTTTAATTTTGAATTTTCTCTAATACAATTCTTAAAATTGTGTAGGTTTTCTGTGCATTAATTTACGATTTATCTCATTTGCCAAAAGCCATACCCACATATCTCTTTCGGATACACCCTTTTCTATTTTGGATTTACCTGTGAGACTGCTGAGGGGCAATGCTTTTATGATTCTTAAAAACCCTTTTGTTTAATTGAAAAGATCCATGAGGCATGCCCTTAAGGCCCTTTGGATCCTTTTTGTCTGTCTGAAAAGTGTTTTGAGGGTCCGCTTTAACTCTTTCTGATAATCTCATAGTCACATTTTGGATTTGATTTTTGGCCTGAGACACATTCTTATTTTGGAAAATTTTGCGAGCTGAAAAGACTACTTTTGGGATCTTTGCAAATTCTTCAAATTCAATTCAAACTGAATAATTTGTTTTTTAGTTCATGTCTTTCTTTTCATTTTATTATAGGTGGCTGGAAGAAACTAGGCAGCCATCTCAACATTGCCTGGAAATCTCCTTAGATAGATCATCCAGTTCGTTAGATACATTTTCTATTTTCCATGTTACCTCAGATGACAGCTCTGCTTAGGTTTCTCTCACCGCATGAAAGGATCTCTTTTCCTTAACCTTCTGATATCATCTTCTCACTTTCCTCCAGGTTTTGACTGACAGCCTCCTTGAGACCTTTTAAAATTCTGCTAAGTTTTTCTCCAGGCCCTTTAGGCTTTTGTTAATAGTTCACAGGTTTCTTCCAGCTTTTGCCTGATCCCAAACCCAAAGTCGTGTATTTTTGATGTATATTATGGCACTCCACTTTCAGTTCCGGTTATCTATATCTGCATAACAATTTATGATCAAAATGATAACAATTATTTTGTTACCTCATGGTTTCAGCCAGTCTGGAATTGGGGAAGGATTTGACTATGTAGTTCTAGCTGTGGGTTTTATAAGTTGCAGTCAGACGGCGACGGAAGCTGGAACAGAGGGCTGCACCTCTCCGTGGCTCTTCATGTAGTCTTAGTGTTTCTCCATTGGTTTCCTTGTGTGCTTTAGTCTGGGCTTTCTTGCAGCATGGTGGCTGCAGGGCAGTTGAACTGCTGCAATTGCAGTTCAGAGATCCAGTGTGGGAGTTCAAGCAAGTGAGAAAGAGGATGAATTAATTGCTTGTAATCATTGAGCCTCAGAAGTTGTCCAGCATCATATCTGCTACATTTGATTGGTGTCAAGTGTGTCATAAGTCTACATAGATTCAAGGAGAGGAAAATTATATTTCATCCCTTGATGGAGAAGGGAAAGGGCAGAAAGGGACAATTTCATTTGGTATATCTGTGATTAGCACAGGAAGTCTTTGTTGGCCAGCTGCGGTGGCTCATGCCTGTAATCCCGGCACTTGGGAGGCTGAGGTGGGTGGATTACCTGAGGTCAGGAGTTTGAGACCAGCCTGGTCAACATGTCAAAACCCTGTCTCTACTAAAAATACAAAAATTAGCTGGGTGTGTTGGCAAGTGCCTGTAATCTCAGCTACTCAGGAGGCTGAGGCAGGAGAGTTGCCTGAACCTGGGAGGCAGAGGTTGCAGTGAGCCGAGATCGCGCCACTGCCCTTCAGCCTGGGCAATAGAGCAAGACTCCATCTCAAAAAAAAAAAGAAAAAGTCTTTGTTAGCATGCAAAGATACAGAGGTGGTGGACCTGCTGAAAAAGGCAGCTCAGGGTCCTCTGAGAAGACGACCTCTCGGCTGCCTGGGAATACACATTAGAGATAATTTCTGTAGTAAAATACACATAGCATAAAATTTCCCATTTAAATGCACAATTCAGTGGTATTTTACATTCACAATGTTGTCCAACCACCACCACTCTCCAACAGATAATTATTTTTGGGGGAGGACAGGGTTCAGGAAAAGCTGAACCACGTTCAACCACAGAAAGAAACCACAGCTCCCGAAGAGAAACTGGAATAAGATGGGGAAATGATTTGGGACTGGGGGCCTGCCCTTAGTGCAGGGTTGGGGAGGACTTGTTCTGGCCATTATGCATTGCTAAGGAACCCTGCCCTTAGCAGCCACAATGGCACAATGACGCCAGGCCATCTCTGTGCAGTGGGAAAGCATTGATTGCTGGGATCAGGACCAATTTTTCACAGTGACGCTTTGCAGCAGAGGCCAAAGCAATGAAGATCATGGGCTGTTTAAATTTCTCAGTTCTCTTTTAGTACGAAGGTTGGCTTTCCTATGCTTAAGTAAACAGTTTTTTTGCTGAGAGTAAATCATGTGAAACAAAATGGTCTTCTTTCTAATCAGGTGATAATCAGTTGAAAAAATAAAGTGAATATGACCATATTTTCTCTAATGTTTTATAACTAATCATACTGGATGCTTGTAGTTAGGAATGAGTATACTGATCTTCAAAAAATAGAGAAATTTGACTTTGAATTTACCTTTCGATTTAACATATTCTGAATAACTGTGTTACTGGGATGGGGTTATTATATTTCTGACTCCCAGTAACTCAGACATTAGAAGAGATAAGGAAAGTGACAAACCTGTTTTTATTCTAGTATTATAATTCTTCGCTGTCACGAAAGCCAGGCTGTTTTGCTTCCTTTCTGTAAGAAATTGTCAGTTGATAGGCAAAACTTCAAGAATAATTAAAGAAATAGGATAGGTACATTCCCTTGGGAAAATCAATCTTCTGTAAATGTATTCAAATGAATTCAGTATCCTTTCCTTTTAATAGTGCTTATCTAGGTGAAAACATTTATTTTAGATTTTGTTATGGCACCCAGAAAACTATGATGCCTCTTTAAAAATAAATTATAGGGTAAAAGTCACAGAGGAGGATGATTGAAAAGAAAAAGTCTCAGGAACATTCCCTGTGTGTCTCCCTCTGTCTTCTGTGCACTCAAAGCATGGCAAATCAATCTCAGAACACTTCCTGTTACCTGAGACTCTCTTGAAGTGTCTTCGTAAATGTTTAATGCATCCCTATCTCTTATTCAGTATGCCAGGAGGAGAGAGATTTGTTTTTGGCAGGGGTTGGCTTTGGTAAATGCCACAGGTTAATTCACAGGTTCTGTTGCATCTGTGTAAATTGGGAAGATTTGACAGCTGCGCCCAAAATACTGGCCATTCTCTTTGGGAAGCCAGACTTTGACACTTGGTTTAAGGCAAAATGAATGTCAATTTGTCGTTTACCTCACCTCCTCCACAAAAACACTAAAAGATTGTTTTTATCAATATAAAGATCCCTGCTTTGAGAATCCTCGAAGCCATAGTGTATGTGTTTTGAACTGGAGATGGGATGGCAGAGTTGTTTAGAGGACTAACATGAGACTAGAGATACTGATAGCTACTACCCTGCAAAGGTTTACCATGGACTGGTGCACTATGGATGTATGCTATCTCATTTAACTCTCACAGCATTCATAAGCACTTGTAAATTGTTCATTCATAAATTGTATCTCCCGTGGGGAACATACAATTACTATCTTTTTTTTTAAAGATGAGAAAGCCAAGACTTGGAGAGTTTATTAGTATTATTTTATTCTTTGTAAAAACAGCTTTATTGAGACATAATTCATGTATCACAAAATTCATCCATCTAAAATGTATAATCAATGATTCTTCTTATGTTCACAGAGCTGTGCAAGCATCACCACAATCAATTTGAGAATATTTTCATCACAGGAAAAAGAAACACCATAACCATTAGTAGTGATCCCTCCCTCCCCAACTATCCTCTTCTCCCTATCCCATCCCACACACTCACCCCAGATTAACGTTTTTAGATTCCACATATAAATGAGATCATGGGGTATTTGTTTTTCTGTGCCTGGCTTATTTCTGTTAGCACAATGTTCTGACTTGGAGAGTTTAAATGACTTGCTGAGGGTCTGCCTAGTGAGGTGCAGAGCTGGGACTATATGGCTTCATCGTCTAGGACTCTACCTACTACAACATATCATGTTGTAAAACAAGCAGACAGGAGGGAAAATGGAATTAGTGAGTTTTTGTGCAGCTACTCATCAACCTCATTTAGTACCTATTTATTTAGAGCAATTTACCATTTAGTAAAACATGGAAGGAGTTAGATTTGCATAGCTGATTTTATATAGTTGCCCTCAAGGTGGAGAGTAAAGGAAAGTAGCAGTTGCTCAACACTAAAGTCAAAAGGTTTGGATTTCACTTTCAGCTCTATTACAAACTAGCTGAGTGAATGTGGGGGAGCTACTTAGGCTCTTTCATGACATACAGAGAAAACAAAAAAAGAAAGATGGAGACAGCACACTTCAAGTTCCAGAAGGCTTTCAATTTGTGGTTCCAGTTTTTACCTGATCCACAACAGCATGCTTGCCTTTAAACAATTCTGAACTCTTGTAATAATTTTAATCTTTAGGTTAAATAACTGGAATTGGTTGCTGTTATTTCCAGCTAGCATTGCAGGAAATACTGAATCTGGTACAACATGGGTTTAACCACATCAAAATTTAGAAGCCCCACCCACTTTGTAGACACAACAGGTTCACAGATAAAGTGTTCTGCAGACTCAAGGTTTATACTTACAATTACGAGATTTATATTTGCATTAGTCTCTTTGGCTGGTGGGTAGGGGTGAGAGGCTCTTCCTGGATCCCTTATTTTCTACAGGAGAGGAGGAAAACACCTGGGATGCTCCAGTGCTCTTACGCAGATAATGATCATTAACATCAGCCTCTCTGATCAAAGGTACAGCTCTTTGTGGGATAATATCTCTTGCATAAGATTTTATGGGCCAGGGCTATCTCTAATTATTTATATACTCTCAGGGTTTTCTTGCTTTAAATGGTCAGTTATAAAGACTTAGCCTAGAAGAAAATTTCTCTGAAAAATATTAGTTACCAGCAGGGTCAAGTTGATAATCCTTAAATTATCTTTCTTTAGGATTAGAATGCTAATTGCAGGCACGCATTATGCCTGGGTTTGTTTATTTTTAATGTTGCAAGTCTGTGCCTTGGAGCCTTCAGTGTTTAGTTATTAATGGGCCACTCTCTATGCTGGGATTAGGACCTATCCAAGAATATAGCTAAAGAAGAATGACTTCCAAATTTACTCTAATTGTACATGATTCTTAAAAATCAATACTTATCCTTGCAATGAGGACTTTTACTACAGTGTATTGATTAGGGCTCTCTCAGATAAGAGTGAAATAAGCTGACATATGCAAATGTAAGTAGAAAGGATAAATTTATTAGAAACCTATTATATCTCATGGAATCCAAGGAAATGCTGAACCACTAGACTCTTAGAATGAGGAAGTCAGGGAAAGTAACAGCTTCCTCGGAAGCAGGAATTTGTGGCTAGTTCTTCAGAAGTTTTATCTTTAATGACACAATTTCTGATTTCCAGTATATCTTTTAGTTCAAATTCTAAATTTCTGGGGAAGAGAATGTGATTGGCCCTGCTTGTTTCAGGTGTTGGTCTCTCTTCAACTAACCATGGTCTTGAAAGTGATCAGATGATATAACTGTGGCTGAAAGGGACATCCCTGCTGATTACTCCAAGAGAAGGAGAATTCTCATGACTAGGAGCTGGGCAGATAGATTAAAAGTACCTAAAACAATGGTCATCAAGAGGAACTTTGACACAAGGAAGCACTTCTCACTGCTGATTTTGGAGTTAATGTGAAAGGCTAGGTTCAGTAATCACACATTCCAGATTCTACTGCCCCGGTTCCTGTCCTGTTTTCAGCATCCTATCAATTCTGTATATCTTATTCATCCAATAAATTCCCCACATTTCTTTAATTATTGTTGATTTATGTAGCTTGCAACCAAAGGATCCTAATTGATATAGAAGTTGTTACTAGAAGCATCTATTGCCTGCCTACCGACCCAAAATGTAACTGGGGGACTGACTCCATTCTGCTCTCCTTGACTTCCACCTACATCTCAGGTTGTGTTGAGGACCAACCCATTTTGTAATCTTTCTGCTATAGTTTGTGAGACTCGGGAAGATCTTAGCAACTGAATAATCCAGTACTTTGTCAAGCTTAGTTTTCTGTGGAAATACAACTCTTAAAAGCTTTTTTGGTTTGTTTTTCTCCATTCCCTTTTTCTAGACCCTATAGACTAAATTTTAACATCAATGCTTTTGCAAAAGCAAACTCTTTGATTCTAGTCCTAATCTTGAAGTTTCTGATGCTTGTCAGTGGACTTGAGCCTAAGTGTACTGTCCATTAACATAATAGCTTCTATTGTGATTTTGCCATTACTTTTAGTGTGTTTTTAAAACTACAACAACTTTTGCACCAGCCTAATAGCTTGTCCTCTGACTCAAAGCAATCGGAAATAATTCCCTGGTAGTACATTATTTGAGGTCCTTGGCTGTGAGCAACAGAAACCGACTCTGGCTTAAGCAAAAAGGAAATTTATTTTATGGATATTAGAGAGTTCACTGGCTCTGCCAGAATATGGAGGTATGAGATTTAGAATCTAACAGCACAGCAAGCAGTAATTCACTATTTTGTCTGAGCATTGTCAGCCACTGAAATGAATAAATTCTATCCATTTTATTTTTCTTACTCTCTTTGTCTTACTGTACCCATTTAAGTTTCCCACAGAAAGGATACAGTTCTAGCTTTGATCATGCCCCTCTTAAACCAGGCAGAAGGACCTCTGTGTCAACCATTGCAGTGAACAGAGGTTGGGATAGGAAGGCACCATTAATCATCTTCACCTTATCCCAGGCAGAATTCCAGTTGCCTCTCTGCCATGACAGGAGGAACCACAAACAAAAATTGGGGTTTGATGGAGGACAGTGGTGGGGACTGGGTGGGCAGTGACTTTTTATTGTAATATAGCTATAATTGTTTTCAATAAAAGTATTTTATTATAAATATATATGTGCATATATACATATACATACATATCTATATAATTATTTCTAACTCATTCCCTAGGTTTATTTTTTTCATAGATATATTTAATTATAATATAAAAAAATTAAACTTTTTCTAACTCCTTCTCTAGGTCTCGTAATATAAAATCATATTTTTAATTAAACAAATATAGGGTTAATTTTGTAACTTTGGGCAGACTTGCATTGCCCAAAAAATAGAAAGTTCTGACACCTAGTTTTAGGGGGAAAAAACAAATTTGCTCATTCTTTTTTCTTTTATTATTAGTTTTGAGACGGAGTGGTGCTCTGTCACCAAGGCTGGATTGTGGTGGCACAATCTCGGCTCACTGCAACCTCTGCCTCCTGAGTTCAAACGATTCTCCTGCCTCAGCCTCCCGAGTAGCTGGGATTACAGGCGTGTGCCACCACGCCTGACTAATTTTTGTATTTTTAGTAGAGACGGGGTTTCGTCATGTTGGGCAGGCTGGTCTCGAACTTCTGACCTCTGGTGATCCACCCACCTTGGCCTCCCAAAGTGCTGGGATTACAGGCGTGAGCCACCACACCCAGCTGCTCATTCTTTTTTCTCATGTGCTTCTACCCGAGAAGTTTCTTTTCTGGCACAATTGGTATTAAAGGTTTATGTGTAGCTCAAGTTCTCTCTCTCTCTCTCTCTCTCTCTCTCTCTCTTTCTCTCTGACCCTCTCTCTCCCCACCCCTAGCCCCCTCCTGCCCCAAGCAGAGTACAGAGCCCATCATCTTTATTTGCCCTGCCTTTACTTAGTAAGTATGACCAAATCAGGGCCGAATAGCAATAGGCCCGAACAAGGCCTGTGAAATCTGTGAATGTTCCTAAGTGTAGAATCTGGAAATTCAACTCTTTCAGCTGTCAATACCAAGCCACAAACTTAGGGGACAGTGGTTGGAAGCTCCAATTTTAGCCCATAATTACATATATGGTCTTTAGCGCATGATTATATGTATGTTCTTTAGCCTAGTTGTACCAAAACAAACAAACAAACAACAACAAAATGATACTATACTGTCATCATTTTGCTTCTATGTCTGTTTTCAATTTTGTTTTTTTTCCAAAGGGGAAGTATGATAAACCTCCTTCCACACCCCAGTAAAAGCTTCAAAAGTGTTTTCTGTGGTTCTTCTAAAAGTAAATTTCCTAAAAATAGGACAAAAATGGATCCATCAATGACGAACTGTTACAATGGGACCTCAATCTGTGTAAGATTAAAATTATATAAACTTGATTCTAAAAATGGTTCAATATCAATAAGTAGCAGCTTTTCAGATTCACTAGTAATGTGTAAAATCAGGTCAAAGTGTGTTTCTGGTCAATTACTGTTGTGATAACCATAGCAGGCACACATAAAATATTTTACTTGGCACTTTATCTGTAATATTACTTTGTTTCAAACAAAATAGAACTTTATGAAGATTATATAGTTACCTCCTGGCTCTACTGTAGAAAAGCATGTAACTTTACTGTAAAGTGGGAACAAAGGCGGCAAATGTCATTTACATACATTTGAAAGTTCCTTTCATTCCTTATATTAATGTTTGGTCAACGATGGACTACATATGTGATGGTAGTCCCTTAAGATTATAATACCATGTTTACACTGTGCCTTTTTCTATGTTTAGATATGTCTAGACACAAAAACACCACTGTGTTACAGTTGCCTACATCATTCAGACAGTAACATGCTATACAGGCTTGTAGCCTAGGAGCAATAGGCTATACCTGATGGCCTAGGTGTGCAGTAAAAGTACACACCTAGGTTTGTGTAAGCACACTCTATGATTAACGCAACAATGAAATTGCCTGAGGATGCATTTCTCAGAACATATCTCATTGTTAAGTGACACATGACTATGTTTCATAATGAAATCGTCCCTTAGGAATTTACAAAGTGGCAAGAAAAAGAAAAACTATGTTTTTCTTAGTATCTTCACAGACATGCGTTTCCAGGAGAGCAATACAGGTTGAGCATTTCTGATCTGCAAATCCAAAAATCCAAAATGCTCCAAAATCTGAAACTTTTTGAGCACCAACATGACAACACAGTGGAAAATTACAAGTCTAGCCTCATGTTGAAGTCAAAACTCATTCAAAACTTTGTTTCATGCACAAAATTATTAAAAATATTGTATAAAATTACATTCAGGTTATGTGTATAAGGTGTCTACAAAACATAAATAAACTTTGTATTTAAACTTGGGCCCCATCCCCAAGATATTTCATTATGTATATGGAAATATTCCAAAATCTTAAAAGAATCTGAATCATTTTTTGTCCCAAGCATATCAGATAAATTCTCAACCTGTATAAGACTTGGCCTCCACCATTTTATGTGCTGTTTGCTAAGGAGTTTAGGAGCAATATTTTCTCCCAATTAAGTTCTAGCAAGCACACAGTCCTTGATCATCATTTCCAATCAATACTGGTATTCTAAAATAGAGTACTTGTGATTGAATTCTAATGCATGAGCTGTAAAATGTTATACAAGAGAAAAATATTCAGCTTATTTATGAAGTTCATATTTACTTCAAATACAGATTAAATAATGCTTTGGTGATTAAAAGCCTGAATTTACAGTTTACTTCAACGGAGAAATCTCTCAGTGAGACAAACACTCTAACATTGGCCTGTGTCCAGGTCTGGTCATGATTCTATTCTGTCATCTTGGGGAGGAGAAGGTAAGAATGTAGGTAGAATTTAACCTGGTTCAGGTTCAGATTATTCAATTAAATACAACAAATATGTCAAGTCCATTCATTTGTTTTTTTTGAAAACATTTCTTAGCATAGTGCTGGTGAAGGTATTTGGAGCTATTGAGTGCATCCAATCAAAGTAGACCCAAATCTCCTTTCCCTAAATGTAGAATTCAGGAACAAAGGAAAAAGCATGCAAATGGACACATAAAAAATATTCAGCGAATGGAAACTGAAAAGGAAGAGAGAATTGTGAAAATAATATAAAGATTAGAAAAGGCTTCATAGAGGTAAAGGAACTAGAACTTAAGTGATGAGTATAAGAGACTTTTTTTTTCCATCCAGTATCTATTTCCTCTTTTATGAGGGATTACTTGATGCTCTGCTCTATGTCCAGGCATTTCATGTCCAATGTCGTAATGGTCCTGTGACCTAATCTGGCCAGCAGAGCATTACGTTCACTTGGCCACTGATGTCATTCAGGCATGGAAAAATATCCTAGTCAGACCCCTGAGAAAAGTAATTCATAACAATCTTTTCTCACTGCATTAGGGATACAGATCTGGAAGAGCAAGTCATCCACTTTGCTTAGACGAGAAGATTCATGGTAGAAGCATTGGAATTCAGGCTAAGATCTGGAGGTTTTAACTTCAACATGAAAGCAGTTGGACTTTGTAAGGCAAAACAAACAACATTTGGCCTACAGGCACTATTATAAAATACAAACAGGTATACAAAATTTGTCATATTTTCAGGAAGATTATAGATTTTCCTCTTACATTTGCTTAACACCTTTAAACTTTTTTCAGTTGTGTATTATGTGTATTAATAATTTAAGTTAGGCCATAGAAGTAGGTCATATTCCAGATTAAGAGGTTTGAGAATTCTCAAAGACAGGTTTGGGTTTCTCATGGCACTTCTCAGACCAATTCTGGTTACAAGTCATCCCTGGGTCTAAAATAATATGGAAGCTTGGAAATAACAAGGTAACTTACACAGATCTTCAATTATCTCAGCCTACATATGTGACTCAGAACTTGAGTAAGATGCAGATTGACTTCCAAATTTCTTCCCAAAGTTAACTCAGCCTGCTCCCAGGAATGAACAAGGACAGCTTGGAGGTTAGAAGCAAGATGGAGTTAGTCAAATCTCTTTCACTGTCTCAGTTACAATTTTGCAATAGCAGTTTCGGCCTCATCTGAAACAAGGCAAGTTCCCTCCACTTATGAGCCTGTAAAATCAAAGGCAATTTAGTTACTTCCTAGGTACTATGGGGGTAGAAACATTGAGTAAACACACCTATTTTAAATGGGAGAAATTGGCCAAAACAAAGGGGTTACAGGTCTCATGCAAGTCTAAAATCCAATAGGGCAGTCATTAAACCTTAAAGTTCCAAAATGATTTCCTTTGACACCATGTCTCACATCCAGATCATGCTGATGCAAGAGGTGGGTTCCTGTAGCCTTGGGTAGTTCTGCCCCATGACTTTGCAGGGTACTTCCCATCTTCTGGCTGCTTTCACCAGCTGCAAACCCATAACCCAAGGTGAACCATGAGAAAAACATCAGACAAACTGAAATTGAGGCACATTCTACACAATATCTGTGGCTTTTCTAGGTGTGTGTTGCAAGCTGTTGGTGGATCTACCATTCTGGGGTCTGAAGGACAATGGCCCCCTTCTTATAGCTCCACTAGGCAGTGTCCCAGTGGGGACTCTGTGTGGGGGCTCCCTCCCTTCTGCACTGCCCTAGCAAAGTTCTCCATAAGGCTTCTGCCTCCACGGTAAACTTCTGCCTGGACATCCTGGCATTTCCATACATCCTTTGAAATGTAGGCAGAGGTTCCCAAACCCCACAACTGGAGTGGAAGGATAGAAATAAGCCAAGGAGGAAGGCTAGAATGAACCATGTAGTATTGGATTAGAGTAGGCAATATCAGTATGAACTTACGTTTACATTCTTATGTAAATACAGATGAATACATGTAGAAATATTTATATGTGTGTGTATACAGTGATCAAAGCTGAAACAATTTGAGCACAAAATAAGTTTTAAAAGCAGTATCAGATTATAACTTAAAGTATAAAATATATATCCATGGATAGGTATAAAATATTCATGGATATATATAATATATATATCCATAAACCCATGCTGATATAAATAAACTCATGATTAAATAAATAAATAAATAAATAAATGAAGGAGAAGACAGAAATATCTCCTTTAAAATTCTCCAAATTATTTACGTAGATATTCCTCCCTCAAGGAGCTACAGTGTAAGTTCCTCCCCTTTAAGTGTAGGCTACACTTAATGACTTGTTTTCATGGAGAACAGTGTGAAAAGAGGGGAAAGGTAACAATACTGTGGAGAAACTTGGCAAACACTACCTTAGTCAGATAAAGTTAACATTATCAGTGATAGATTATGTTGATAGTCTATAATTTTGATATGACAGAATGAGAACTAATTTACCTCTGTGGTCTTCCTCCCCAAACCCATAACCCAAGGTGAACCATGAGAAAAACATCAGACAGACTGAAATTGAGGCACATTCTACAAAATGCCTAACCAGTATCCCTCAAATTGTCAAGGTCATCAGAAACAAGGAATGTCTGAGAAACTACCACAGCTCCCAGGAGCCTAGGGAGACATAATGGCCAAAGGCAATGGGGTATCCTGAATGGGATCCTAAAAAGGAAAAATGACGTTAGCAAAATCTAATAAAATTTTAGTGAAGTATGAAGTTTAGCTAATAATAATAATATCTCAATATTGGCTTCTACATTGTGACAAATGCACCATCATAATGTAAAGTGTTAAAATAAAGGAAACAGGTGTTTGTATGGGTATACAGGAAATCTCTGTACTATCTCTGCAACTTTTCTATGATTCTATAACCTATTCTCAAATAATTATTTTAAAAAATTATGGTTGCTGTATTTTATAAACTCCATTTCAAATGTACAGTCATCTAATTATCTTCCCTAAGGCATGGTGATAGTAGAAACAGATTCTCCATTTCCTGGCTCTATTCAGAGAGCTTTATTCTGGAAATAACGTTGTGGGAATGGATAAAAATATTCAATTACTTTTGAATACTTGCTATCAGAAAACAATACTTACGTAATGAGATTGTAACTGTTTATAGCAAGAATTTTCTTCCCTAATAACAAATTCTTAAAGATAAATATGTAATTCCTAAGAATGAAATAAATACATCTTCTAAGACAATGAGCTTACAAAATGATGAGGCTTGTTGCAATGCTCTCAGAGTTTAATTGGAAAAAAGAGACACTGAGAAGGTAGTCTGAACTATGACTGTAATTCTTTATAAAAAAACATCATCTATAACAAGCCTTTTACTTAGTCTTAGCTAGTTTATATATTTAAAAAGGAAATTAGATGCACTAGAAAATAATGAAAGCTAAAGCTATTATTTTTCTATAAAGTGAATCTATAAATCTCTTCTGTTGCTACCTTTTCAATCCCTTTGAGATTTTTTTTTACTGAGAGTTTCTCAAGAGATTAAATTTTGTGGGTAAGTGTAATAGTTCCTGCCCAGGTTTTTCTGTTACTGGATCTATGACTTTTCCAACTTTGAAAATTATCTCAGGCAAATTGTGTATCATTATCTTAGTTTGTAAAATAGGAGTACTTTTGAGAAACAAAATGTCCTCAACCATGTATTGCTGATGTATCAAGTGAACAAAGTAGGTTCTTCAGGTTTTTAAAACACTGTGGAAATAAGAATCCTGACCAACCTGCACCCATCACCATTCTCCTTTGTGTGTGTATAGTTGTTGTTTTATGTTTATGTGTTTGTTTTTGTTGCCATCTCTATTACTTTTCCCAGTAATTCATTTGACTGGGACTGTTAAATATACTGTTAATATTACAAAGCTTTGGTTACCAAGTGTATTAGTCTGTTCTCATGCTGCTATAAGGATACCCAGGACTAGCTAATTTATAAAGGAAAGAGGTTTAATTGATTCACAGTTCCACAGGGCTGGGGAAGCCTCAGGAAACTTACAATCATGGTGGAAGGCAAAGCAAACATGTCCTTCTTCACATGGCAGTATGAAGGAGAATGAGTGCCAAGTGAAGGGGGAAGCTCCTTATAAAACCATCAGATCTCGTGAGAACTCACTCACTATCATGAGAACAGGATGATGAAACTGCCCCCATGATTCAACTGTCTCTACCTGGTCCCACTCTTGACATGTGGGTATTATTACAATTCAAGGTGAGTCTTAGGTGGGGACACAGAATCAAACCATATCACCGAGTAACTTCCCCGACTCAGTCTAGTGGCACCAGGTGAAAAAAAGTTATTTGTAACTCACAGTTTCATGTATACATTTGTCAGGTTAAGCAAATGGTCTGTTGCCCAATAAACTAACTTGGGTTAAATAAATACATATCCTAAGTTGAATTTACTAAACTAGATAATTTGTATTTAATGCATATTTTAATATTTTATTTTTGTAATATATATACTTAATATATTATTTAATTTTTAGGTCTGAAATCTAAAAGGAAAGTTGATTTTTTGTAAGCAATTGGCAACTTATCAGTGCTTAATTTGTAATAGATAACTATTTTAAATGTTTTAAGCTCTACTTTTAATAATACAGGACTGAATTGTTTCTGTGAGGCTCTAAAATGTTAGCACATCAAAACGCAAATGGCATCTTTGAGTTTCTCTCAGTTATAAGAGATAACAAATGTGAAAAAAAAAGAGAAAAGAGAAAAGAGCTGTTAAAGTGGGCATACCCTTTCTACAGACATATTGCAGTTAAGCTTTTCACAAATGCTATATAAAAGTCAGAGGAAAATGTTAGAGTTACATCACAGGACCTCCACCATTTAAAGGGAAGAACTGGAAAATCTCTTATGAATATAAGGGCTTCATTTTTTATTTCATGGTTCTGAGGAAAGGTTGAGTCCTACAGCAAGGGAAAATGTCAGGGCATAATTCATACGGTAACACCAACATTCACATTGCACTTTGCAAGACATTTCAACCTGTGCTCCTGTTCTGTGGCACCGAGCAGTAGGCAGAACTGCGTGTAAAAAAATACGCAGATCGACTCAGTTGAGTCAAGTCTCCTCATGGTGAGCAGGCTCATCTACTTGACTGCTTTTTACCCTTTAAGATTAATCTGAGGAACACTCTTCCTGGGGAGACCCCTTCCTAATTCTTGAAGTTCCTGAACTGTATACATTGGATTGTGATTCTTAACTTGTGGGCATGGTCAGCTAAAATGTAATGTCTCTAAGGGCTTATATTCTCAGTGCCTTGTATAATGACAAGCATAGAGGAAGAGTTCAGTGGTTTGCTGAAAGGACAATTAAACATTAATTTAGAAAAAAGGATGATCAAAAAAGAAACTTACATGGGAAGAAACATGAATCCTACATTGAGTTTTATTCAAAAGGAAACTAAAAGTGCCGGGAGGCAGGAGCTTCTTTGAAAACCAGGTGGTGATGAATGAACACATTCATAGGCGGTTGCATTTTGCATGTTGCATTTTGACAAAACAAATTGTTGTGTATAGTAGGATTTTATTTTCTTTCAAGGTTATTAAAATAATTCATATTCATTCTTATAAATTAAGAATGAAACCCCGTCTTTACTAAAAATATAAAAAATTAGCTGGGTGCTGCAACAGAGCAAGATTCCATCTCAAAAAAATAAAATAAAATAAAATAAAAAGAAGAATGTACATATGGTTGGAGACAGAAGAGAATGGTGATCAAGGTATTTCAAATGGAAGCCATTTATGGCACTGGGAACATTTTTGGTGGGTGTACTATGATTTTGTTTATCACATACCCATTCCTTCTCTTTTGGGTAATTAGCTCACTTATTTCCCTTTGATATATCTCCTCTTCCAACACTTTTTGTGATTTAGCTGAGACAACTGCCTAATAAAATCCAAAGTAGAGCCCGTGAACCTGAAATTATGGGAAATTAGCATATTTCATTTTCTAGTCATAATGATTGGCTGAGACATATACATGTGAGCCAAGTTTGATCAATCACAGTTTATCCTGGGACTTTTCCAGGTATAACTAGGAGAAGGTAGTCTCTTCCATTGCACTTGAATCTATGAGATACAAATCTTGAGCTGCCAGGTGTCACACAACAGCAGGATATCCCTGAAATGTCGCTCATGCAAAAAAAAAAAAAAAAAAAAAAAAAAAAATCCGAGCCTAATGCCCTAATGGTATTGTATGATTCCCCAGAGCAAGCTTATTTTGTAGGTAGAAATGCTGTAAACCTTTCAATGACGAACCAATAAATGGCACCTTTTGGTTAATCCAAAATCACAGGAGTGATTCCTATAAGCCTAATTTTTTCTTCTTTAGAAATAACCAATGAAAAGAAAGTTTCAGAGAATGAATGATTTAGATACCAGTCAGAATAATCTCTAAGATTTCTTCGTTTTTGTTTTTTTCCGATACTATCTACTTGGAGATAAGGGTTTATTCTTTACTCAAAGAAATATTACATTGCACTGAAATATTATAATATAGTTTTAAGCCTCTACTGCTGAAGCTTATTTCTCTGCTTGTGAATTTTTTTTTTTGTTTTTTAACATTCAGACAGTTCTACTTACTTTTTAGGAAAGCAGCTATAGAGAATCTAACAAACGAATTGGTATTTTACGTAAAGTTTGCTTTGAGCCATTTTTCTTTTCTTTTTCTTTTCAACAATACTTCTCTTGGGATAGAAATCATTGGCAATAATGATACTAACTATAATTTAATCATCATTTCATAGCCAAGTCCTTCTCTGTTCTTTAGCAGAAATTTTAAAAAGATGTGTTAAGTAGTAGCAAGACTGGTGTGAGGACAATATTTTTTTTCCAACAGGAACTTCCCTGTTTGAATTATTAGGGTAATGTGAAATGCATTTTCTTTTCTTTTCTCCTCCTTTTTTTGGTCATTAAAGTAATAAATGCTTCAGTTGATGGTATAAATAAATCTTTGTGTGTATCTGATTATATCTAAATGTGAAATTGCTACATCAAATTGATTTCAAGATAGATCACAACAGTTTGTAATATAGATGAGTGACTAAACATTGCACCATTAACAGTATGAATTTTATGAAATAAATATTTGCTTTTTCTGTCAGGTTGGTTTTTACTCTGATTCCATTCATTTGGTCAATTTTGCTTTAGATATTTTGAAGGTATATTATTGAAAGCTGTGAATTTTCTTTAAGAATTGGTCACCCTTTCATTATTAAACAAATAACCTTATTATCTTTTATAATCCTTCTTGTCTTTAAATCTAATTGATGTAATATTGATGTAGTTTCATGAGCTTTCTTTTGCTTAATGTCTTATGGTATTTATTTTCCCATTTTTTCATCTTTAGACTTTCTATAAACTTATAACTAAATTGTATATTTTTAAGTAGATTTATGTGTTTAAATGTTATCTGCCAACATTAGTTTATTACTTGAACTATTAAACTATTTAATTTTTATTTGTAAAAATTATTTCATTTAAATTATTTAATTTAAATTACATTTAAATTATTTCATTTAATTACATTTAAATTATTTCATTTAAATGTAATTATTTCATTTAAATTATTTTAAGAGTATAATTGAGTTTATGTATACCATCATAATGTTTGCTAGCAATTTTGAGGTTCTTTTTCTTTTCTTTCTCGTCTTTTTTGGATTAATTAATTTTATCATTCATTTACCATTTTTAGTGGCTTTCCTAGAAATTACATGTGTTTTTATTTATTTAACTCTGATATTAAACATCACTTTTGCAACTTCTCTAGAAGGCTAATGCTTTAGAACATTTTAACTTCATTATCAGTTTTGCTTTTGCATTACTGCTATATTTTACAATATATTGCATGAACTATATATAGTGCAGATATATTCAAAACTCCACAAGCCATTAATTATTGTTTTGGGAACTCAATATATTCAGTTCACTGACATATTCACCCTCTTCATTCCTTCCTGTGGTCTTGACTTTCTGTCTGAGATCATTTTACTTTCGCCTGCAGAACACCCTTTATAGTATTTCTTTTAGTGAGAGTTTACTGGTGATGAATTTTCTTAGTTTTTGTTTGTCTGAAAATGTCTTTATTTTGCTGTTGCTTTCATGCGTCTCTGGATTTAGAATATCAAGTTGGTAGTTGGTTTCTTTCAGCATTTTAATGATGGTATTCCATTGTGTTCTACCCTTATTGGTTTTTGTTAGTAAGTCAGCTATCATCTTATTGGTGATCCTTTGAAAGTGACAATTTCTTTTCTTCAGAGTGCATTTAAGATATTCTCTTTGACTTTGGCTTTTTAACGTTTTAGTATGATGTTCCTTAGTGTGCCTTCTTTTGCATTTATCCTCCTTGGTGGTGTTGGCAAGGCTTGAATCTATGGATTGATGCCTTTTTCAACTTTGGAAAATCTTCAGCTATTATCTCTTAAAATATTTCTTCTCCCACTATTATTTCTCCTCTCACGTTGGGACTCAGTTTACATATAAGATCTTTCCACTATGGCTGAAATATCTCTCTGCAGAGACACAGAGATAGATAGATAGAGAGAGAGAGAGTGAGAGAGAAAGAGAGAGAGCAGATATTTCCTACGCTCCCATTTCCAGTTCAACAATCCTCTCTTACTGTATGTCCCATTTGCTGTTAAAACCAATTATTGAATTTTTAATTTCAGTTACTGTATTTTTTAACTCTAGAATTTTCATCCGATACTTTCTATAGATGGCAGTTCTTTTCTCCTTCTTGTCTTCTAGTTTTGAACATGTTTATCAAAATTATCTTAAATTGCAGGACTAATAATTCCAATATCGGAATTACCCCATGAGTTTGTTTCTGTGGTCTCCCTTCTCTCTGTCTTTCTCTGTCCTGTCTTCTGGCATTCCCATTCATTTCATACTTAATTATAGATGTTGTATTTTTAAATATTACAGAAGTTCTGGCTGCTTTTCCTCAACAGGAGGATTTACATTTGCTTCTATCTGGCAGCAAGAATAGGGGCAGACCACTTTAATCCAATGAGGGATTGAGCTAATTTTAGTCTAAGCTTCAGTTTTTGTAAAGCTAGTTCTATTTATAGGCAACCCTTTCTCTTAGGAAGCAGCCTTCAGGAGCCCCAACTGAGAACACAGGCATTTGTTGTGACTCCTGCTCCCTCCTTGGCTGGCCCTGGCTTCCCAGTTCTGCAAGACTGCTGAAAGCACTCCTTGGCTTCTTCAGCTTCCTACCAACCATGCTCTTGTTTGTGTCTCATACAATCAACCCTGTACTGCTTTCAATGAGCAAAAAAATTTTAAGGGGAAAAAGTGGTGCTGAGCAATACCTTTCTCTGACTTTTCCTGGAGGAATTGCTACTTCCCAAAGTCCAATTTATTTTGGTCTCTTTTGCTATGTGAAACTGCCAAAAACTCAACTCAGGTTCTCTCCTCCTGAGCCACCAGTTTTTGCCTTCTCAGACTCTCTCTTGGTGCCAGTTACTAACCCATAAAAGCCTTGAGGGAAAAGAAGTGCAGAATATGGAGTTCCTCTAATGGTTCTGCTCTGCTTTACAGGATCTTGGCCTCTCATGTTCTGCACCCTGACAGCTCTCTTGTTTCTTAAAACAGCTTTTTTAAAAAGTATACAGCTCTTCTAGGTGCCTTTGGTAGAAAACGTGGTCAGATACAAGCTCATAGCCAGAAATAGAAGTCTTTGAATATTTTTATTTTGCATATTGACTAACAAGTGGCCTTTACCCACCTAAGCCATTGTTTATTTGAAGGATGTGCTTTTTTTTTTTTCTATTTTGTTCAAACTCCTTTTTGATTTACAGGAGTATTTCATAAGTTAGTTGTCAAATATATTATTAGTTTTTTCCTTCAATTACTACTCAGAAATAGTTATTTTCTTACCCTTTTCCAGACATTTTCCTATTTTTCCCCTCTGGTTTATTTTTATTTAAATTTAATTTTAAAATGTATCTAACTTTAATTTCATTGCATGGAAAGTTAGGGAAATTTTCTCCCCAATTATTTAACAACCATTTGTTGAATAAAACATTCTTTCCCACTGCCTTGGAATTTCACCTTTTTCAAATAGTAAATTATTATATACAGTCTAGTTTTTTTTTTAAAATTCTCGTTAATCTATTATTACACCTATAACATGCTGTTCTAATGACCAAACTTCAATAATTCATTTTACTTGATGATTCAAGTACTCTTGAACTCATTGCTCTTCTTTGTCAACCTTAACTTGGCTGCTCACATCAGGATTTTTTTGCCTGTGTGTCAGAAGTGATTACGATCTGGTCTAAAGCAGTAGCAGTGGGGATATAGAGCAAAGACAGAGTGAGTGGTACTGAGTATTGCCATCTATAGGGCCTGATGGATTTAACGGCTAGAGAAAAAAAATGGCATCTCACATGATTCTAAGCCTTCCGGCTTGGGAAACTAAGAGAATAGCAGTGTCATTAATTAAGACTGAGAATACGAAGATGATTATCACAGAGAGAGCGTCATCTGTCGCGAGAGCAGAAGCAGATGGAGCCTAGGTAATTGTAAGAGATTGGTGATACGAAATGGCTGTTTGGCTAGTAGGATAGAAATTTGACTTGGGAATATTAAAAAAATAAGTGATATCCAGCTTGCATTAGATATCAAATGAAATGTATTGTGGCATCAGTTCTAACGGATTCATAATTTTTAAGGAGCAGTCCACAGAAGCCTCTTTCATGTATTCATCCACATGAAATACACTACTAGGCTGTAAACTGTGGGGAGGGGTATGGAAGGCAGACAGATCAAGGGTAGGACATTTTTGGACAAAAAAGTTGCCAGTGAGGAATTTGAATCTAATGATAGTAAACCTGTTGATGTGGTCAATCGTAAATTCTACTTTTATAAAGAAAGAAATGAAGCTGGACTGATTATTGAAAATGTCAAATAGGATTACAAAGAGTTGAAACAGTTTTATAAGCTCCATATCAAAACTAGGCAGTTTTTATCTTTCTAGGTCATTTACATGATGGCCATGGTAGAACTGAGATGTCCCCTGACCCTCTGTATGTGGCTATGCTCTCTGCAGCCTAAGGCCAAAACAGTTAATAGATAAGTGCCTGGGTTTGGTTACTAAAGAAAACGTGTAGATTCCTGTCATCTTTCAAGTGTATACATACCAACCAGTATTCTTTATTTTTTTTTTTTTTTTTTTTTGAGACAGAGTCTTGCTGTGTCATTCAGCCTGGAATGCAGTGGCATGTTCACAACTCACTGTAGCCTCAAACTCCAGGGCTCAAGTGATCCTCCTTCCTCAGCCTCCTCACAGCTGGGACTACAGGCATGTGCCACCATGCCTGGCTAATTTTTTAATTTTTTTGTAGAGACAAAGTCTCACTATGTTGCCCAGGCTGGTTTTGAATTCTTGGGCTCAAGCAATTCTCCTACCTCAGCCTCCTAAAGTGCTGGGACTACAGGTATGAGCCACCGTACCCAGCCTCAACCAATATTCTTCTACTTTACCTTAAAGAGACTTAGGAACTACCACCTTTAATTGTATATATTTTAAATATTGTTTCAGTTACATGCAAAAAATAGAGAGGGGCAGGATTTTGAAGAGATCAATGTTCATGAGTTTTCTCCTGCTTCCTTTGGTGCTGATCATTTCCCCTCCTAAATTTCAACAATAAGATCAGAATTGTGGAATTGTGAACTTGGAAGAAATTATAAAATTTATTGGACTCTTCTACTTCATCTCCATTTAGTAAATAAAACAAATGAAAATCAGAGAAGACAAGGCTGACGTTAGCCTGTAAATCAAAAGCAGAACTAAACCCAGAAAATGCAGGTTTCCTGACAAGTAATTTTAATACTTTCTACTATAGTGTAGAGATTAGAAAACTCATTTTAATGTACTTTGTTAATTTACTGTATCATTTTGCATATTCTATCCCTACCCTACCCTCCTTTAAGATTCAGCAAAATTTTTAATGTGGAAGAATAAAAAGTGGTTTCAATACTCTCTCCAGAGTATAGTATCAGAATTCTAAAAAGAGCTGACGCAAAGCACTTTTATTACCAATTTTAATGTAAAGGCACTGACAGTATGCAAATAAGGCACAAAGCCAAGCTTTAGAAATGAACTAGAGAGATAATGAATTCACATGGTGCCATTTTTAAGATTAGACTTTAGTCCTATATTCCTGTTCTTTGTTGGTGGGCAAGCCACAAGCAACTCTGACCTCAGTTTTGCTACCATAGTAGATGCACACCTGGATTAACAAAGGACAGAATGCGCTACTTAGCACGTCTCATTTTTTGGGCAGTGTCTGTTCACCCCACCCCCATCCTGTTCAACTTCAATGTCAGAAGGAAATGAAGCCACAATGTGAACAAAAAGAGCTATAACATTTTTTGTCTCCTGCTTCCCCCCTCCCTCTTCATTGTCCTCCCCACATAGAGCTACTCCACCCCACTCTGGCTGTAGTGTGACATTCCTGCCTGCCTGAGGAAGAAATGGTGAGCAGGGGCTGCAATTGCAGACAAGTGTCACCCAGAAGCCACAAGTTTCTGTGAGCACCAGGTCTACAAACTACCCAAGGCATAGCAATGGCATTATCACTGGAAGAATTCGTCCACTCCCTTGACCTCAGGACCCTACCCAGGGTTCTAGAAATCCAGGCAGGCATCTATCTTGAAGGTAAGCACTCTCCAATACCTTTACTGGCTAGAACATTCTTGTAAAGTATACATTTTTGAAAATTGGAGGGGGGGAATTTTAACAGCAAATATGTGAGTTCTGGTAAAGGAAAGGCGATCACAAAAGAAAGTAATGAACTGACCAACGAATCGTCAAAAGCCAATGGTGTTGGAGAGGGGAGAAACTAGACAGGACTCTGGGACAGACAGAAATAAGGAATTGAGTGAAGCTTCTTGAGCTTTCTGTAGGCCTTGAATGGTGAACTATTTCTGCCTTTGCTTTGAAATTGGTTGTAATCAAGAATAATAAATTTAGTTATCAATATTTATGTTTCCACAATATAAAAAATAAAATTTAGCTTGCTAAAACAAAAGCAACTATCAAAGGCACAGTGTTTAGAAAGAAGTATTTCCAAATATTTCCCAAACTTTTAGCTCCTAAATGTTGCTTATACCAATGTTTTTCTCACTCTGTAGTGGCCTAACTCCAAATTCCTTAAATAATGAAAATTTTAATTTGAAGGTATAGAAATTATTGCTACAAGATAATTTTTAAAAATTGATGTTGAAACTCAGAGTTCAATTAAACTTATTGAATAATAAGATAGTGAGTTTTGGTGTAACTCACTATGTTAATTCAGGTGAAAGAACATTATAACCTCCAATATACAACCTAGAATCTTTACATGGTTAGTTTGAATACATAGAATACAATTAATAATTCTGTAGGTGTATTTCTGGCCTCAAGAGTGGTAGAATTGAAGCAGTTGTAGAAACAGATCAAGACAAAACTACCAGGAAAATAACTTAACTGTTGGTAGGCAGGTCTTTCTTGTTCGTAGACAAAATAATGTATTACATATTATGTTGCAAAGTAAAAGAAAGATTAACACGTCAGCTCCAGTTTTTATATATATTATATATATATATATATATATAAAATATACACACACATACTTGCAGGTGATGAATTGATATGGGCTGTTATCAGCTTAGTGTACAGTTTTATTTAACTAATTTGTAAGTTGATTTTTGGAATCAGACTATGTTTTGCCGTGTATAATCATATTATCAATGTCTCTATTTCTAAGCCAGCCCCAAATCATTTTTTGTCTCATGGTTTGTGTTTTTTAGGCTTTACGTAAAAAGTCTTTCTTTATGTCTACTTTAAAAAGATATTTTCCTATGTTGTTTTTATCAACTTTACGGTTTCATATTTTGCATTTAGTTTTTAGTCTATTTGGAGGACAATGTTATGAATTGTACAGGGATCCAATTTTAGTTTTCTCTATACAGTTCACCTGATTTCCAGGTACCATTTGCTAAGCTGACAATCTTTCCGCCATTGATTTTTGTTGCCTCCTTCAAATCATATTATATGTTCACCTCTGTATCAGTCTGTCTCTAAAATATCTCTTCTATTCCATTAGTTTATTTTTTTTCTTAGCTGCCCCCAAACACACTATTTTTGTAACTATGGCCTTGCAATACATGTTAATATAGAAATGATGTATAGACCAATCCCTTGTTTTCAATCCTTTTTTCCTAAATTGGCTTAGATATTCATAGACTTTAAAAATGTTTTTATAGATACATAATATATATACATATTTATGGGATACATGTGATATTTTGATACAGTGTGTAATAATCAAGTCAGAGTAATGGGGATATTATTCATTGCCTCAAACTTTTACCATTTCTTCATGTTAGGAACATTCCAATTCCACTACTCTAGTTGTTTTGAAATATACAGTAAATTATTTTTAGCTATAGTCACCCTATTGTACTACCAAACACTAGATCTTATTCCTTTTAACTGTGTTTCTGTACCCATTAATCAACCAACCCCTCTCTATCCCCCTCCCACTACCCTTCCCAGCACCTGGTAGCCATCATTCTACTCTCTATCTCCATGATATCAATTTTTTTAGCTCCCACAAATTAATGAGAACATGTGATATTTGTCTTTCTGTGCCTGGCTTATTTCACTTAACCTAATGTCCTTCAGTTCTATCCATGTTGTTGCAAATGACAGGATTTCATTCTTTTTTATGGCTGAATAATATTCCACATTTTATTTGTCTATTCATCTGTTGATGGACATTTAAGTTGATTTCATATTTTGGCTATTGTAAAAACATGTGAATGCAGGTATCTGTAATATATTGATATCTTTTCTTTTGAATATATATCCAGCAGTGGGATTACTAGGTTGTAAGTAGTTCTATTTTTGTGTGTGTGTGTGTGTGAAAACTTCACACTGTTTCTCATAGTGACTGTACTGATACACATTCCCATCGAGTATAAACGTTCCCTTTTCTCCACATCCTCTCAAACATCCATTATTTTTTATCTTTTTGATAAAAGCTATTTTAACTGAAGTGAGATAATATCTCATAACTTTTTCAATGAGTTTTTATTAAATCAATTGATTCTATAAGAAATCTAACTGGGATTTTTATTGGATTTATTGATTTGGTAGATTAAGTTGGAAAGAATTGACATTCTATATTGTTTTAAGAAAGAATGTAGTGTCCCTCTATGTGTCCAGACCATCTTCTTCATACCTTATTATTTTACTACTATGTTTTACTTCAATTAAGAGGGAAAAAACTAAATACCTTGATCATTTTCACAGTGTAAACACATTCATGTAACTGCCACCCTGGTCCAGAAATAGAAAATTCCAAGTATTCCAGAAGCCCTATCCTGTGCTCTTTCTCAGTCATTATATACTATCTCCCTCAAGTGTAACCACTATCATGACTTTTGTCCATTTATGACCCTTACATAAATGGAAAATTACAGTATGTATTCTTTTCTGGTTGGTATATCTGTTTAACATTATATTTGTGAAACTAATCCATGCTGTTTTATATATAGTTCATTCATTTTCAGTGTATGTTATTCCATTAGATGAATATACTACAATTTATGTATTAATTCTACTGCCAATAGGCATTTGGATTATTTCTGGCTTGGAGTTTCCAGTAATTTTGTCATGAAAATTCTTGTACATGTGTGCCTACGTGTATATGCATTAAGTAGGGCATAAAAGTAAGTAGGATTACTATGTCATATTGTGTGTGTACATTCACCCTTGGAAGCTAATGAAAAGCAAGTTTCTTAAGTAACCCAATTTACTTTCCTACAAGCAGTATATTTGTGTTCCAATTAACTCATATGCTTAGTAACACGATATTATCAGTCTTCTTAATTTTAGTCATTCTGGCAAGAGTATAGTGGTAGCTCATGGTTTTAGTTTTCATCTCCTTGATGACTAATAAGATTGAGCACCTTTTCATATATTTCTTGGATTTTTGGAAATACTCTTTTTTGCAGAGGTGGTTTATATTTCTTGCTCATTTTTCTGTTGAATTTTATACATTTTTGTTATTGATTTGATGGAGTTTATGTGTATATATATATTTGGGATATTTACTCTTTGTCAATTTTCTGTGTTGCAAATTACTTTCTTAGTCTATAGTTTCATATTTTATTTTCAAAATTGTGTCTTTTAATGGACGAAAGTTTTCCACTTTCGTGTTAGTGTAGTCAGTTTATATTTTCCTTTTTCTGTGTTGTCAACAATTTTTTTCTTTACCCTAAGTTCATGAAAATATGTATTATCTTCTAGAAATCCTATTGTTTACCCTCACCTTCAGATCTGTAGTCTATCTGGGTTTATGTTTTTGTATATGGTTTGAAGTTGAGAGCAATATTTATTTTTCTCTTCTACAGAGTCAATTGGTGCAGTGACATTTATTGAAAAGCTGCCTTTTCTCTATCATCTTACTCTGTTAACCTTACTCAGAAATAGTGTCCATACATGCCTGGGTCTTTTCCCTTTTATGCTGTTCTATTCATCTACTTGCTATCCTTACATCAATTTTTCCTGTCTTAAATAATGTGGATATGCAATATCTAATATATACTTTCTATTAGATTATATTTAATAATATGCTACAGAGCCATGGTTCTCAAACTTGGTTGTGAAATAAAAATACCTGGATTGATTTTAAAATATAAATGCCTAGGTTTCTCCTCAAGAGGTAAAGATTTAATTATGTAAAAGGTAAGGCATCACCATCAGTTTTTGAAAATCTTCCTGATGATTATAACACACAGCCAAATTTGATAACTACTGCTTTAGAACAAGTTCTCTCAATTTATTATTCCTCTTTAAGTTTAGCACTTTGAATTTTCACATACATTTTAGAATTAACTTATCAACTTCCTCAAAAGTCCTCCTGGAATTTTGATTAGCTGTGCTTTGGTTTGGAGAAAATTGGCATCATTTTAAATTAAGTCTTCTGACCCACTAATCTGGTATAGCTCTTTAGTTATTTAAGTCTATTTCATTTCTGTCAATAACATTTTATAATTTTTTGTACAGATCTTGTATTTTTTCAGATTTATTCTTAGTTATTTGATTTTTTCATGCCATTTTAAATGGTATTTTTAAAATCATTTTCTCTTTGTTGTACTTATTGAATTTTAAGAATATATCTTTAACATTTTGTATATGTTATGTGTACATTTGCATTGTCTGTGAATATTGATGGATTTTGCTTCTACTATAATACTGAATAGAGGTAATGATAAAAAAAAGATCTCTGTATTTCATTCATGACCACTGAGAGCAATTTTCAGTAATCCACCATTCATGATGTTTGTTTTAGGTTAAATTAGTTCTAGTTTTCTAACAGGTTTTAAAAACTTGAATATATATTTGACATTTATCAAATATTCTTTTTGTAACTTTTATGATAATTACATAGTTTTTTTTACATTAAAAAGTGTTAAACATGCTTTTAATTGTGGAACACAACCAATGGGGTCATATTTCACTGAATTTGGCTTACTATTTTTTTTTGTTAGAATGTTTGTATCTCTTTTAGGGAATAATATTGGCTTATAGTTTTTATTTTTTTGTAATATCCTAGCCAGGCTTTATTATCAAGTTAGTTGAACTTACGGAACTTCTTGGTTGGAGTCTTTTGTTATTTTCCTAAAGATTTTATGTAACTTTGGTGTTATCGCTTATTTAAATATTTAGTAGAATTTTCAATGAAGGCCTCCTGAGCTGAGATTTCTAATATAGAAATGTTTTAAATTATGACTTCAATTTTTTAATAGTAAAGTCTTTTTATCCATGAGCATAGTTTATCTCTCATTTAAACAAGAGAATAAAATATCTTCTACATAATTTATCACAGTTTAAAAAAGTGTCTCTATAGAGTTCTTATGTATCCTAGGCTAGTTCCTAGAATGCACACACACATACTTATATCATGTGTATATATATATTGCTATATTGAGATCGTATTTTGTCTGTTTTCCCATTGATTGTCTCTGAAGTGAAGAAATGCAGTTAAATACGATTAGTAATATTTATAAATTCCCTTGTTAATTCTAATAGTTTATATTTTTTATTTCACTGGTTTTCTTAAATAGACATTAATGTCAGAAACATCAAGTTGTGTCTCTTTCTTACCACAAATGTTTTTTCTTACCTTTTTATTACAGGCTAGAGCCTTCAGTATTATATCAAGCAATAGTGGAAATCCTTGTCTTATTCCTAGTCATAAAGAAAATCATCTAAAGTTCCTTGTTAATATATTATGTACTAAATTTTGGTGTTTAACCTTTACTCAACTAAGGAAGTTCCCAACTATTCTTTGCTTTCTAGGAGTTTTCCGAATAAATAGGTATTGAGCTTATTAAGATAATAATGTGATTTACTTTCTTTAGTGTGTTTATGTGAGTTAACTTTAAAGATTTTTCAAATGTTGGAGGATCCTTTCATATAAATATATGTATTATATATACATTTTTTTCATATAAATATATATATTCATATAAATATATGTATTTTCAAAAAGTATATACTTTTTGAAATACAATGTAGGAATTTGATATTATATTTAGGATTTTTACATTTAATCATAATTAAAATGAGCCCATAGACTTATTCATTTTAGATTTAAGATAACATTAGCTTCCGAAAATGAGTTACATAAATTTTGCTATTTCTGTTTTCTGAGATAATTTTCTAAAAGTAGGTTTAACATCTTCTTAAAAATTTGTTAGAGTGCTCCTGGATGACCTACTAAACATGGAATTTTTTTGAAAAGAAGCTAGAATTTGGTTTTGTTAATATTCTCTATGTTTTGTTTCTTTTATTTTTTCTGATTCAGTCTCGTTTATTTTCTTGTTTGTCTGTTTTCTCTCTTGCTACTTTTCCAGCCTCCTATGTTGAATCGGCAGCCATGTTTAATACTTTGCTTCTTGATAAATGTGTTTTAAACTATTATTTTTTTCTAAGTATTTTTAACTGTTTCCTATAACTTTTGCCATGTAGCATTTTCATTATTCCTCAGATCTAATTATAATGTATTTCTTTTTAAATCCAGTAGCTATTAATTTTGTTTATTTAGTGATCATATAAGATTTTATTTGCTATCCTTTTGCTTTTAATTAATAATTTCATTGTATTTTGTTCGAGATTGATAGTCTTTATTTGGAATTGGTTGTGGTTTCCTTTACTTTGTGGTATGAAACATGTTCTACTTTGGAAATGCTTCCTGTGTGCTAAAAAAAAGTATGCTTTGTTTTTTGTTATAACACCTCTCTTTATATGCCAAATAGCTTGAGTTTTTATTTGTTTTGTTCAAATTATTTCTCTCACTGCTTATTTTTCATATGCTTAATCTCTCATTTACTTTATCTGTTGTACATCTATCTGGTTCACTCTTCATTTCTGTCTTTTATTTCATCAAAATTTTTTTGAGGTTCAGTTGTTCCATGTGCCTATGTTAGAGAGTTACATCTTTTTACTGTATTATTATCCTTTTTCCTTGATGATTTTTTTTCTTTAGGTTCTATTTTTTTAGAAAATGTTACTATTCCAGCTTTCTTTTGGTATATCATTTTCTAAGCATTTGTTTCCAATATTTTGGGGTTCTATTTTTTGTTTTATGTGGAAGGAAACATATTCTTTGTCCTCTTTCTGCCTTTTGTCTCAGTTCAGGCAGTGGAGCCAGATTCCACCCGTCCTGTGGTGATGATGACTCTGTGACAAATTTTGGGGGATGGGAGGTTTAAGGAAATTTGAAAGAGGCTGATGTCAAATCATGTGAGGTTCTGTAGTATTGGATTGAATACTCGCCGTTGACAACCACAGTGATAATAGGGAGAATGTTCATCACAAGAACATGTTGCTCAAGCATTTATTATTTTAGGAGCCGTATCGATGTGAAGCGTTTATGCCCTATTGATGTGAAGCACAGAATTGTGGGTTATAAACTCAGGACTCTGCCTCTTGGATAAGTTATAAATGAGAGGTGATTCCATGGTCAACTTAAAACATTGAACATTTGTCCTTTGTTACAAAAAATAGGTTTTATCACAACCTTGAGGTATGATGTGAAGATTAATTGAGCTATGGCATATAAAGAATTTAGCAAAATGACTGGCTGAGATCAATCTTTCAGTAAATCATAACTATTATTATTATTACCTTAATGCTGGTATATTGTAAAGAAACTGGTCAATTATTTCAAAAATTAAAACAAAACTGATTTGAATTTTTCTACTGTTACATATACCAACATAAATTGAATATGAAGAAAAATAGTAAAAAGTAAAACATTAACAATAAAACCATTTAAAGAAACCACATAAAAATGTGAAACTGAAACTTTACAAAGTGAAAAAATTAAATTTATAAAATAAAAAGCTTCCTTATTCCAAAAAAACCCAAACTACATAAATGTGGAAGAAAGACTAACTCTACACAAGGGGAATATTTACATAATATAGAGCAAACAGACTATAAATATCCTGAATGTATAAGGAATTACTAAATAACAATAAACAAAAGTGAATATAAAGATGTAAAAGGCAGTTCACATACCATACTAATATTAAAAAATTCAAATCTACTATCAACAATGCTAATGAAACAATAAATCATTATTTCTCTTTCAGGTCACTGGTATTAAAAGATTCACAAAAGTTATTGTAGGCATGAATGTGTGGAAAGGAGCCGAGGCACACTTGGTAATGTGTAAACGGTTACAGACTTTCGAGGTTGCAACTGGGTAATATTTATCTACAGAGAAAAATGTTTATAAACATCCAATCACTAGAAATTAATTTTAAAATACAATTACAAAAAGCAAAATAATGATTATATTAGAATGCTCATAGAAGCATGTTTTATAGAAAAATGTTAAGCGAGCCTAGAATGGAATAGCTTACATACATCCTAATAATGCATTATCAGGCATTGTCAAAGGGTCTAGAATTACAGTTGGGAAAAAAAGTAAAGCCCTCCCCTCTCGGAGCTTATATTCTAGTAAATGGGACAAATGACAAACCTAGATTTAGAATATATACAAGTGTCATGAAGCACTGACTGGAGAGTAAAGCAAGGTGAGGTGAAAGGTGATCTTTTGATAGGGTGACCGGGGCAGATTATCTCTGATGAAATTTGAGCAGGGACCTGAATAAACTGAGGAAATAAGCCTTGCCCACATCTGGAAGAACATCCCTGCTGAGGACAGAACAAGTGCAAACTACTGAAGAGCTTGCTTGGTCTGGATAAGAAACAGGGAGCAGCCCAGTGGTGCTGAAGGCAAGGAATTGGGGGAAGGATGGTGGGAGAAAGACTGAGGCGTGGGCAGGCCCAGACCTTGTAGGCCTTGAAGGCCAGAGTGACACTGAATGTGGTACAGAGTGGGGCTGGGAAACCCGTAGGACCTGTAAACTAATGTGGTCAGGGAAGGCCACTCTGAAGAAATGATTTTGGAGCAGAGACTTGAATATTGAGAAGGAATCAGCCAAGGAAAGATCTAGGTTCTGGAGTGTTCCAGAGTGAACAGACAGTGCAGACATCTGGGGACCAAAAGGAGCTTTGTCTGTTTGAGGAAGAGAAAACATATCCCTGTACCTTGAGCACATATAAAGCAGGGAGAAGAACATATGAGAAGAGGTTTAAGGAGTGGGCAAGAGCATTTCAAGGAGTTTGGGTTTTATGAGACGCCAATGACCAGTTTGAGCAGCAGACTGACAAGACCTGATTGCCATTTGAGGAAGATCACTGGCTATTTTGGGGAGAACAGGCATTAGTGAGGCAAAAGTGGAATGATATATTAGGAGACTGCAATAATCTAGAGGAGAGTTGATGGTGCCTTGATTTAGTGTGAAGAGAAAGGAACAGTTCAAGAGATGCTTTGGAGGTAGAAATGTCAGGACTTTCTTTTTCTTTGTTTCTTTCTTTTTTTTTTTTTTTTTTGTTGAGCTGGAGTCTCTTTCTGTCACCCAGACTGGAATGTAGTGGCGCAATCTCAGCTCACTGCAACCTCCACCTCCCGGATTCAAGCGATTTTCCTGTCTCAGTCTCACGAGTAGCTGGGACTACAGGTGCCCGCCACCAGGCCTGGTTAATTATTTTTTCGCATTTTTAGTAGGGACAGGATTTCACCATATTGATCAGGCTGGTCTTGAACTCCTGACCTCAGGTGATCCATCTGCCTTGGCCTCCCAAACTGCTGGGATTACAGGTGTGAGCCACCGCGCCTGGCCGAAATGTAAGGACTTTCTAATGGATTTGAAATTGAGGTGAGAAAATGAAAAGACTAAAGGATGAATTCAAGATTTTGGCCTAAACCACTGGGTAAATGTTTGTGTATTTGACAGAGTCATGAAGACCAGGGGAAGATGAGATTTTAGTGAGAAAAACAAAAGTTTTGTTTTGGACATATTAAATATAAATATCTATTACTCAGCCAAGTGGATATTTCAAGTTAGGCAATTAAAAATCCAACTTGGGCACAGAGGATGCTTGTGGTTGGAATGCCCTATCCATTACCTAATTGATCAGGACTTTATTTGATCAAAAACCTCATCAATTTAAAAAAAGAGGATGCCGCTTTCCATACATGTATTTCTCTATTGATATTTATATTCCTTCCAAAGCATACATAATAATAAAATTATAAAAAAGAAAGATAAAATTGATAATATACAATTTTAATTTTTGTTAATAATATACACTATTTTTCTCACAAAAGCTGTTAATTCTATTGTAACAACTAGCTAGTTTTTAAATTAATATATAATAATTGTACATATTTATGGGGTACATGTAATATTTTGATTCATACATACAGCGTGATCAAGTTAGAGTAATTAGGATACTGTTCACCTCAAACATTGATCATTTCTTTGTTTTGGGACTATTCCAAATTTTTTCTTCCAGTTATTTTGAAATAGACAATAAGTTATTATTCACTATGATCACCCTACTGTGCTATTGAACACTAGGCTTTATTCCTTCTAGCTAACTGTATTTCTGTATCCATTAACCAATCTCACTTCACCCCCTTCTCCCCGCTACCCTTTCTAGCCTCTGGTAACCACCATTCTACTCTCTTCCCTCCATGAGATCAATATTTTTAGCTACCACATATGAATGAGAATAAAACATATTAACTATCAATCTATTTTTAGCAGAAGTCATGTTACTGAAAATTATTGAAAATACTACATGTTTTTATTACTGAATACTGTTTTGGAAAATGCTGATTATCATGTGACCCAGTGATTCGAATGGTTCTAATTAATTTATTTTAGTGCTTGTTTTGAATGACAGCTATTGAAGATACCTCATCAAGGTCCAATATACATTGTATGTAATCTACTCATACAGCAGGTTTATCATTAATATTTGTGGCTATCACTCTGTGAAATAATCTTCATAAATTTCATGTTGTGAAATAATCTTCCTAAATCTGATTTTGGCAGTTTCATTAGATAGCAGTTGTACGCAGACAATGACAAGATTGTGCTAATAGAAGACGTGTCACTCTATCATTTTCTTCTTGATAGGGCCTGCAATCTTTAATTCTCAAATGTCTGTGTTGGCATCTTGTGACGTTATGTCTATTTTGTGAGAGTGAGTATAGATAGAATTAGATTATAACAATTCTTAAATCAACTTAACTTCACCTGCATTATGTTGTAGTATATTGAAAGTAAATGAATGAATTAAAACAATTCCTTTAACTCATTTTTTGAAATTCCCAATCTATCTTAGTATGTGACTTACCATACATGTCATATGACTATCCGATGCAGAGATAAATTAGGATTTTTAATATTAAATACTAGCAACCTTGAAATTAACTAATATAACTCTTTCTGTTAAATATTAGTATAGTTTAGTTTTCTTATTTGTTTTATGTGGAAATGAATACGAAGTTCTACTATTTTCCACTTTAACCTCATATCTTGTAATACTCTTTGGAATATGTGGCCCAATTTAGAGATCCCTGCAAGGAGCTAACACAATTGATGTTATGAGTCCCTCTCAGATTAAAGCTGTGGATAATTATGTATGACATATGCCATAGATAAATTGACTTGTGCTATCTTGTCCTCTTCAGTTCTTTAAGTGAGCAGTTTATAACCAAAGAACAAATCTGAGGAAAAAAATGGTGTTCATCTATTCCACTTTTCCACCTCTTTTGAGTACATGGTATGCTTGTACTTCCCAACCCTTTTGTGGTCACATGATCACATGACTTGTATTGGCAAATGTACTGAGAACAAAAATAATATGTATAATTTGGAACAGATACTTTAAGAACCAGTTCATAATTAAACATATTTCATCATGGTAGACTATGTCAAAATGAAATCTTCAATAGCCTATGTTGCTAAGTGACTATAATTAGCAGAGAACATGTCCTCATCCACCTGTACCTGACATGTAGTGAAATAAGAAATATACTTTATTGTTTAATCTCTGAGATTTTGAAGTTGTTATCTTAATATAAGCTACACTTCTCTCACTGATACAATAAATTATTTTTATTATGACTGGAACTGAAGTTATTATCAACTTCAAAAAATTCAAAACCAGGCATATTCTAAAGAGAGTCATATAATGTCAGGGAAGTTACTTGGGTAATAATGCTACCACATGTTCATAAGAAAGTGATTTTATCACTCTATTCAGGAAGCATCTGTTGCTTCTTTAACTACTCTTCATATTGCTAACATTACCATTTACCCCTGTTGACTTTGTATATGTAGCCATTTTGGTGTTGATTTAAAAATTTGGCAAAAAACAAAATTGGTTTGCATTATGATCTCTTTTGAAGAGCTGGATATTAATTTTTTTTTGCTTTAGAAAAACACATGTGCATGGTTGGTAATTTTATAAATGCAGAAATGCATAATTACCCATAATGCCACCAAACAGAGAGAAATATGGTTAACATTTTGATGTATTCTGTTATAATTTTTATAAAAATATGAATTAACTTTCAAGAAAAGAAAATTGATGCCCAAATTCCTTTTCCCCATGCTTTATAGGGAACCCCATAATTTCCCACAACTTCCATTTATCCCCTTAGTTCAAGCCATCATAATTTACTGCTAAGATTATCAAAATCTCCTAAATGCTCTTCCTTCTTTCATTTCTAAAATCTATTCTCAACATAGCATCTAGAATCATGGATGTCAGATTATGTCACTCCTCTGTTAAAAACCCTCCATTTTTTCTCAAAATAAAAATCTTATATGGGTAATAAGTCCCCACATTGTCTCCATGTTGCATTATTTATCTGAGTTTATTGCTTATTAATCTGCTTCTCCTCCTAGCCATACTAGCCACTTCACTGTTCCTCAAATTTGGGGATATTCTCCTGCCTTAAAGCTTTGTTCACACTTTTCATCTGGAAAACTCTTCTTCAGGACATCGACTTGACTAACTCCCTTCTCTACGAGGTTTACCCCAGCTGCCTCTTTATTCTTGCAATTTTTCTACTCCCCTTTCCCTGGATTCCCTGTCTTCCATATTCCGGTCTTCATTTTCCTCTGTACTGAAGCACCTAGCTCTTTCTTACGTATAAGTTAGGTATAGCATGTTTTTATGTCCTCTCTTATTAGATTTTTCTTACAGTTTTATCAAGGTATAATTTATATACCATAAAATTCAACCACTATAAGTATACAACTGAATGGTTTTAAGTAAATTGATAGAGTTGTATAATCATCATCGATTTAAGACCATTTTCATCATCTTAAAGAATTAGCCTGGGTTCTTTGCCATTAATCTCTATGGGCATTTCTAGCCCTAGGCAACAACTGATCTGCTTTCTGTCTATAAATTTGCCTTCTATAGACATTTCATATAAAGTAAGTCATACAATATGCAGTCTTTTTTATCTGGCTTCTCTCACTTAGTATGTGTTTGTGGTTCATCTATATTGTAGCATACATCAGTATTTTGTTCCTTTTTATTGGTAAATAGTATTTTATTGTATGGATATACCACATTTCGTTTAACACCAGTTGATGGACACTCAGATTGTTTCATGATTGCAAGTATTATGAATAATATGTCATTTTACATTTTTACCATTAATGTATAAGGATCCCAGTTTCTTAACATCCACGCTAAGACTTGGTATTTTCTCCCTTTATAGCCAGTGGTATCTCATTGTAGTTTTAATTTGCATTTCCTTAATGACAACTAATGTTGAGTACTTTTTCTTATGCTTATTAGCAGTTTATTTGTCCTCTTTGATCACATGTCTCTTCAAATCATTCACCCATTTTTAATTGTGTTGTCTTCCTTTTACTGAGTTATAAGAATTCTTTTTTTATTCTGGATATTTGATTTGCAAATATATTAGATATACAATTTGTACATATTTTCTTTCCTTTGTGGCTTGTGGTTTCATTTTGTTTATGTTGCCTTTGAAGCAAAAAGTTTTACATTTTGATGAAATCCAATGTATTTTTTGGGGGGGGAGGTAGGGGAGGGCTCATGCTTTTGGTATCATGTTACCTAACCTGAGAGCACAAAACTTTTCTCCACTGTTTTTCTGTTGGGGGTCCCCAAGATGACCCTCACTAATTCTCTAGAAGAACTCGAACTACATAAGCTATTATACTCATGGTTATGATTTATTCCAGAGAAAAGATAGTCAGCAAAGGAAAACAGCAGTATAGGGCAGAGTTCAGGAGAAACCAAACATGAGCTGTCAGTTATCCTCTCCCAGTGGAGACATATGGACAGTGCTTAAATCTCTTAACAATGATGCGTGACAACATTTACAAAGTAGTTTCAACCAGAGAAGTTCATCTATACTTTCATGTCCGAGGTTTTTTTGTGTGGAAAGCCTCATAAACATGGAGTGCCCATGGGACTGACCTCAGCTACTCAGTCTCCAGCCCCTACAAATGTCAGACTTATACAGTGTGGTCCAGGACCCCAAGTGAACAAAAACAGGAATTTACCAGAAGTCATGTTGTTAGCATAAACTTTCTGGTATGGCCCAATGTTCCAGATACACAAAAACACTTTTATGCTTCAAGGACTGTCAAGAGCTAATTCTTTCTTTGGAATATATGAGGGTTGAGTACTCCAAGTCCATGGAATTAACCCTTTGCTGCATGGTTTTATTTTGGGAGAGTTTTCTCTCTTATCTTTGGGTCTATAATCCATTTTGAGTTAGCCTGAATTTTCTTGATTTGTAAATCCAACTAATGGAAAAACTAAACCTAACTATGAATCCATTTACAAAGCATGCTGGGAATGACTCAGGTAGAAAAGGCTGTCTCTACTTGGGAGAAGTGAGGGAGTTAACCAAAGAAATGTCTGGGTGAATGGTGTTTCAAGTTGAGGGAAACCTCTTTACCAAAATGTTATGGTAGGAAGGTGTTGGGATGTTATAGGAAAAGTGAGAAACCAATGAGCCTGGAAGGAGGGGGAGAGTGATCAGAAACGATATGAGAGACAAAATGGTGGAGAACCACATATGGCTCTTTTGGACATTGCAATGTCCAATGGGGAAACTGTAGATACCAAAGTAAATCAGCCAAAACCACCTAATCTAGTGGTAGAACTTTTTTCTTAACTATGAATTTAGAGAGCATGAGCCACTAATTTTTACCATTTATCAAAAAGAAAAATGTTGATGAAGCCACACACACATTTGTAAAAGTCAAAGCATAGTTGTGTTTAACTCAGCCCAAAAGTATGATGCTCAAAAGTGTTTCTTGTAACAATTTGTAAATGCCAAGAAGTTGTCATTCCCTTCTTCAGAGTTAAGATTTTTAAGTACTGTATTTTGGATGTATTAAATATTATACTATTTCTTGTTCCTGCAAAAAATATGTTAAAATCATGGAAATTATTCCCTAGTATTGTTTATCTATCTCCCTTCATTTCTTCCTTTTCTTTCTTCTTCTTTCCTTCTTTAGTTTCTTCTAGAAAATGAATGAAGTATGACCTTTACCCTTAAAAATTCCAAAGACTAGTAAAAGTAGATAGTTTTTTTTATTTTTTATCAGTATTTATAATACAATGTGAAAGGTGCTCTGTCATAAACTGTTTGAGAACACTGGGGAGAGTATAACTCACCACTCAGAAAAGTCAGAGAAAGCTTAACAAGAAGTAGTAATAATTTTGCTAGGACTTGAAGCCCAAATAGAAGATAACCTGGTAACTAAGAAACTTTCAGAATGAGAGAAAATTGTTTAGAAGGTTATGCAAGTTTTAAAGCTCAAAAGGGGGTTCAGAAACTTCTCAGGGAATAGTAGAAAATCAGGTCATTTGTGGTCATATTTTAAATGGCTTTTGAATAATAATGAGGATTTTGAATTTCTAATCAATAGGCAACTACAAAAATACATTATTTTTATAATATGTGTTATGGACTGAATGTATTCTCCCCCACTCCAATTTATATGTTGAAACCCTAGTGTGACTGCATTAGAAGATGGGGCCTCTAAGGAAGTGATTAGGTTAAAGGAGGTAACACAGGTGAGGCCCTGATCTGATAGGATTAGGGTCCTTATAAGAAGAGATACAGAAAGCTCTCTGTAAACATGCACACATGCGTGTGTGCACACATACACACATGCAATGAAGAAAGGCCATGTGAGGCCAGGTGAGCACAGAGAGAAGGCGTCAGTATGCATGCCAAGAAGAGAGGCCTCACCAGAAACTGAATCAACCAGAACCTTGATCTTGAACTTCTGGTCTACAGAATTATGAGAAAATAAATTCCTATTATTTAAACTACCCAGTCTATGGTATTTTGTTACGGCAGTACGAGGCAAAAAGTCATCTCAGATGAGTATATTAGACATCCATTGTAGTAGACATTTACTAGAAGTGTATGAGAAAGAGATAACAGCAAGGGGTTAATAGCAGCTGTGCAGACAGAAACCATGTTCCTTTTGGGTAGAATATTCTGAACTTGACAGCTTATGAAAGGCAGTGAGCAAGAGGGGGAGTTGAAGAGTCTAGACTAGTAGTATGGTAGATGATAAAAACATTAATTGAAAGAGTAACTAAAAGAGGGGGTGCCTAATTCAGTTATATTCCAATGAGTTTGAGGCCTTTATAGGACATTCACATGCAAATGAACATTAGATAGCTGAAAATGCACATCTAAAGCAAAAGGAATGGTAGAGTTGTCAGGGCTGACATTATGGATTTGCAAATGAGTGAAAGAAATCTTGTGGTTTTAAGGATTGTCCTATTGTCCATGTGCCACATGGGAAGAAATACTTGGGTCCCAAAGAACACCAACATGGGAAGTATGGACAAAGTGCAGCCTGTAAAGCAAAACAAACAAACCAAACAACTAGTCTCCATGTTGGAAGAGAAGCAGCAGAGTGTAGGGTAGTTTGTTGATGAAAAGAAATGGCATAGAGCACCAGATTGAGAGAATGTCAGGAATAAATGTTTGGTTTTGTCAGGTGATTTGTAGTAGGGTATTAATGATTATTAAAACTGTACCTATTGAAGGCTTGCTATGGACCGGGCAGTGTGCCATGTTCTTTTTTTATATAAATTTGGGTGTGTAAGCACATATAATATATATATAACACAGATGCTCCTCAATTTGTGATGGTGTTGTGTCCTGTAACTGTAAACTGAAAATATCATAAATCAAAACTGCATTTAACACACCTAACCTACTAAACATTATAACGTAGCCTAGCCTACCTTAAATGTGCTCAGAACCCTCACATTAGCCTACAGTTGGGCAAAATAATTGAGCACAAATCTTATTTTATAATAAAATGTTGAATATCTCATGTAACACATTGATACTGTACTGAAAATGAAAAACAGAATGGCTGTATTGAGTACTTGAAGTATGGTTTCTACTGAATAGGTACTACTTTCACATCATCATAAAGTCAAAAAATTGCTAAGTCAAACCAAGTATGGGAGTCTGTATATATATTTTATATGTGTATGTCTATACATAAATATGTGAATCTATATAATGCAACATATGTAATTAAATAATTTGTATGTTTGGCTACATGTAAATTTAGTGTTCATATGTATATATATACACATATATATTTACTTTTATTTAAATTAGTTAATTTATTATATTTATAAAGATATTTAGCCCTTGAAGATCTCTTGTGAGATTATTAATATTATTTGCATTTTTTTAGGGTCTCCTGTTTGTCATATCACCAACCTCTGCTATAGGGATAAAACTTACAGTAAACTTTATTATTGCTCTGCTCTACTGAAGAGTTTAAATGAGAAATCTTATAGGAAATGCTATCATCATAGAACCAACAATGTCTTGTAAGATATTTTATGACAATTTATTGATGGCATTTTGGCTACACAAATTTAGTTGTTGAAGTAAACATGCATAAGAAATCACTAGTAGTAACTACGTTTGTCTTGTCTTTTAATAACATTACTAATTGCAATTTGATAAATATGACATTGAAAAATTAACTCTACAACTGATTGAATAAGTATGTTGAATAATGATGCTTAGTGAATTATGTATTATATGAACATGACTCTTATGGATCTGATGCATCTGAGAGTTCATACAGCAAAAATCATGCCTACTTTAATGCCCATATAATTATTTTATGGCTAAATGAATTTAATTTTTTCGGGCTCAAATAAACCAAGCAGTGATGTGGTAGTAAAATCAGGGCAAATTTGAAAATCACAGTATTGTATTCTACTCGCATGTATTCATATTTCACAGGTTTTAAATACTTAGACAAAACAAAAGCTTTTTTTTAAGTTCTTAAAATTTACAACATTTATATTTTTTCATTAGACTCAAGTGGAATGAAATTAAAGTCTAATGAAATATGGCCTATCACATTTAAAAAAAATAATTTCAACTAAATGGAAAGAGAGCACCAGTATTTTTCTACATGAGCTTGTATTTGTAAAGATTCATTGAAGACAAACATTACGTTTCTAAAGTAGAATTTTTTTACATGTTTACATGTAGATAGGCAGGACAACCTAAACTCACACATGTTGGAAACTGTAAACTTTCTATATCTAAGCTTGTAAAGTATGTAAAATTTATTATATCCTGAAACTTAAAACATTTAAATAAGTTTAAATTTTCTCTATTTGTGTCAATTTTATATGGTTGGGCACTAAAATGACTGTCAGAATAGAATCTGGAAACCTTAAATGTTCAATTTCACATTAGCCTACAGTTGGGCAAAATAATTGAGCACAAATCTTATTTTATAATAAAATGTTGAATATCTCATGTAACACATTGATACTGTACTGAAAATGAAAAACAGAATGGCTGTATTGGGTACTTGAAGTATGGTTTCTACTGAATAGGTACTACTTTCACATCATCATAAAGTTAAAAAATTGCTAAGTCAAACCAAGTATGGGAGTCTATGCAAAGATAGTAATTTTAGCTACATACTTAAAAAGATAATCTTGTTTGAAGAGTTTTTTTTTTCTTTAAAAACTTGGAGACCATTTTTTTTTTTTTTTTGCTGTATAAGATGACACTTCAGCTACTATATAACTTGTCTACTGGAATGCCTTCAAGGAATATATAGTAGAAGTCAATAAAAAGTTAACCTTTTAGTGTAGCCATTATATTTTTAAAAATAAAGATAAAAATGTGAAGTTTAAGAATGTAAATTTGAAGTTTAAAAGTTTAGTGCATTTTTGTATATGTGCTTGAATGGAACACATTTCTCCCTAAAATTTAGCTTAAGCTTAAGCAGGCCTTATTGTAGAAAAAAGCCCTAAAACAGGTGCATTAAAAACAAGCAAATAAACTTAGATAAAAGCAATGCCAGTTGTATTATTTTCAAAAGCTGTAGAGGAAAATAACTGCCAGAAAACTTTTTGTGTTATTTACTTAAGTGAAGATGTGCCAAAATGTGGACATTTTTGTACAATGGAGTATGAGATTTACATTTATAATAGAGTGTTCATACTTAAAGATAACTAAGTTCTTTGTTGTTAAGTACCAATTTTGACTATGCAATACAAAGTTACAAAATGGAGTACTGGCAAATGTTTTTTCCTATAATCCTATAAATATAGATTATGTATGTACTTCCTTCATTTTGTAAGTATAAACAAGTAATGAGCAAGAGATTAAGTAAAATTTTATTTTTTATTATCTGCTAGATTTTCAAATTCTGTGAAATGAAAATTTTGGTTAAAGATATTAATTGGCTAAATTCATTTTTAACAAGTACAAATTATTGGTCAATTATTTAACTTTAAAACATTCACTAAAGAAAAATAAAAAGCAAGACTTACTTTAAGATTAGTAGTTTTATGGTTTTGTATATTATGATACTGGTAGATTTTGTTAGGCACTGCTAAATGACCAGTGAATAAGTGTTGAGATGGGAAAGAAAGTGACTTCAAGTTAGTGTGCAAAAAAAGATGATAAAACTTGGATTTTAGAAATGTCTGCTTTGATGCAATAGTCAAGTTCTTGAATTTAAAAACTTTACATTTTACTTGGAACATCTAATTTGTTTCACACTCAATAAATACTTGGAATCATCGCGTCTTTTAAAACTAAGATTTTAACAAAAGTTGTGAAATGAAATGTCTTTAAATGAAATACTTTTTCACAGGAAATAAAACTTTTTACATGGAAATGGTCAGTCATTACTTAAAAATACTTTTTTGTTGTTATTTTAAAAATAACTTATTAGGACAAGTTTTTTGGGAGGCAATTTTCAGCTACTCTACATAAACAGATTAGCTGTCTGATTTTCTGGTTCTTACAAAAAATAGATAGGACTCAAGAGGTTTTTTGTCTACATTAGAAGGGTTGGTTTTAGTGATTCAGCATTTATGTCAGTTAAGGAAAGAACACCTGCCCCATAAACAATGTGTGAATTCTAACCTTCTAACCACAGACCAAAGTGCTTTTTTTTTTTTTTTTTAATTTGTCTTTTGGCATCAGGAAAAGCTTAAAACATATTCAAAAAAGTTTTTTTTTTTTCCTCAGGACTCCTGAAATCAAATCATGTGAGTTCAGAAATAACTGTTCATTAGCAGAAACCACCCTGATTTTTAAAATGACTAACAGTTGTCCTAACCCATCTATCTAAACACAGCATATATATTTATTCCAGTAATTAAATAAAGATCAGCAGCTATTTGGCTTGCTCAAAGAGTTTATGGAATTTTGAAATAATGGTAATTTGAACTAATCTTAGATGAGATACAGGCTTGCCCTCCATTTTTCCCTCCCTTCCATCCTCCTTTTAACTTTAGACAAATGAGATTGGATAATTTTAATGTACTGTTTGACGCAAATTTACTTTGAGCACCTGTTGTATGCTGTGGTGAAACATGATGCATGGAAAAGGGGAACATATAAAATAAAAGCCCCAGCCATCAAATTTTTCATTCAAAGAAAAGATACATAATATAATTAGAGGATAATAATAGAGATGGCACCTAAAAAGTGGCAGATCAACTGTACATGCATTGCATGCCTAAAAAATGGAGGAAAACGGCATGGCTGTAACCTGCGTGACTGGGCTACACCCGGGGGAGGAGTCTGGGCAGGGTGGGCTTCGCAGCTGGGAGGAAATCAGGTGCCCGAGGTGGGGGCGCATTTCCCGGAGCTGGTAGGGAAAATACCAAACTGTGGAAGTGGCCTAGGCAGCCGGGTTGTAAATAGTTGAAGACCAGCTTGGTTAGGATCCAGTCCAGCAGCTCCAGCTCACGGAAGGCCAGAGGCAGCTTCTCCATCCTTCTTCCCCGACTGCACTAAGTCCTCGTTTTTTTTCTTTCTTTTTCTACACCCTGCCCGCAAATAATTTGCTCATTTTTTAAAAAAGCAATATTCTACATTTCTGGTAAATCTGTTCTTTTTTTTTTTTCAGAGTGACACAGCATTCTAGATCACTGAAACTAATCTCATTTTACAGAGACATTTACACACATTTTTAGAAAATTATTTCAGCCATTATCAATAAAGAGAAGAATAAAACTTTCTTTTCATATTAACAGGAGCAACAATTATCTTTCTTCATGATACTTAAATATAAGGAAACAGATAATCAATGAGTAAATGAATGTCCAAGAATATTCATTTATCCAGCTGACACTCTTTGAGTGGCTACCTAATACCTGTCAGGATGCTGAATTTGGAGCAATAAAGATCACACAATCATCATGGCCCTAACTCTCAAAAAAGTCCAAGCCTCTTGCAGAGTTAGACATAAGAGTTACAAAGGCATTTTAAGATATGCTATTTGTTAACATATGCTCAACAGGTTAGAGGATCATTCCTGGATTGATATTGTTTCTGTCAACAATAATTAGAACACCGAAATTTTCATGTAATATACCTCAGAGAACATTTTCCTCTGTGCATTAGAAATAGCATTCTTTTGAAAAAGATTTTTTTTCCTAAATTGACATCTAGCAAATTACTTCTTATTGTAACAGAGGCTTTACCATTTAAATTAGTATTTTAATCCACAAAGATATAAACAAGAATACAATTTTTAATTTCTGCTGTTAAGAAATTTCTCTTCTTACTAGAAACAATAAGCAATTCATTAAAAACCTGACAGTGGAAATTAACTACTGATAGATGCCATTCATCTGACAAGTGACCTATAGCATTTTATTTTTACTGCTGGGCTTCATGCTAGTTGCTTTTCTAATTCAGATCCCTTTGAAAGACAAAGCAGAATTATTCAAGAAAGCATCATGTTTTTAGAAAACCACAGGCTCACTGCTCAGTAATATTCAGAAATTTCTATTTATTAATTTATTGAGAAGTATTAATCTCATCTTATTTATTAAGAGTCACTAGAAAAAAATTCATGCCAACCTTTCTGGAGAAAATGACTTTTGGTCCCAACTGACCAGAATCCATTTTGTCATTCACCTTAATTTGGTTATTTTTGGTCGATACTCATAGCCTTCAGTTCTTGAAAGTAGATGATAGCTATCAGTCTCTTACCCCATAAACCTGAAGGCCTAGTACAACCAAAAAAAGTCTAACATCAAATTTTGCCAAATGTAAAAAGCATTTTTTTTTTGCAAATAGATATAATAACAGCTATATGGCCACGTGTCAGCTTGATGTAGTCCCAGCTGTCTTTTGAAGCTGTCTGACAGTACCTTGCCTGAAAAGTTCATTAGAGACTTCTGCAACTGTGTTTCAGCAGCAGGATTCAGCTACCCTTCTAGTTAGAATCAGGTAACAAAACTGTTTTGAATCAGCTGCTGAGCTGGAACGGTAGAGCATAGGGCCCATGTTGGGTTCACAAGATTCTTATACCACTTTGCAAGAACAGGAATGCCTATGTTATATTTGCAACTAATGAACACATTTTGAACACCACTGATTTCACCCATGAAGCAGCCTTACTAAAAACCATTATTCTAATTAACAAAGCCTGTATTAATAGGAAACAAAAGCATGTGATATTTGCGGTAGTTGTTTTAAGAGCATGGACCTTTGATTAGTCTTTGCATGTTGTGTAGCCACCCTGGGTTTTATTTCTGATTAGTGTATCTCAAATGAGAACTAGCATTTTCCTGATCCTTTCCCTGTGGTTAAAACTCTTGAACAGATGCATACAGGCATACTTCATTTTTTTTTGTGCTTCACAAGTAAATATTGCTTTTTCTTTTTTAACAAATTGAAGGATTGTGGCACACCTGTATCGAGCAATTCTATTGGCACCATTTTCCACCAATGTGTTCTCCCTTTGTGTCTCTGTGCCACATTTTGGTAATTCTTGCAGTATTTCAAACTTTTTCATTAGTATATTTGTTGTAATCATCTGCAATCAATGATCTTTGATGCTACTATTGTTATTGTTTTGGGGCACCACGAACAGTGAGCATATAAGATGGAAAATTTAATAAATGTTGTGTGTCCAACTGCTCCCTCGACCAGCCATTTCTTCCCCATCTCTTCCTCTCCTTGTGTCTGCCTATTCCCTGAGACACAACAATATCGAAATTAGGCAAATTAATAACCCTATGCTGGCCTCTTAAATGTTCAAGTGAAAGGAAGAGTCATACTCTCTCACTTTCAATCAAAAGCTAGAAATGATTAAGCTTAGTGTGGAAGGAACGTCAAAAGCCAATATAGGCTAAAGGCTAGGCTTCTTGTGCCAAGCAGTTAGTCAAGCTGTTATTGTAAAGGAAAAGTTCTTGAAGGAAATTAAATGTACTACTCCAGTGAATATATGAATGATAAGAAAGAAAAACAGCCTTATTGCTGATAAGAAAGTTTTAGTGGTGTGAATAGAAGATCACATCAGCCACAACATTCTCTTAGCCAAATCCTAATTCAGATCAAGGCCGTCAACATCAAGGCAGGACCCTCTACCAGCAAAAAGATTATGACTCTCTGAAGACTCAGAGGATTGTTAGCAGTTTTTAGCAACACATTGGTTTTAAATTAAGGTATATACATTATTTTTTAGACATAATTCTATTGGATACTTAATAGACTACAGTATACTGTAAATATAATTTTTATATGCACTGAGAAACCAAAAAATTTGTGTGACTTGCCTTATTGTAATATTCATTTATTGCAGTGGTCTAGAACCAAATCTGCAATATCTCTGAGATATGCCTAGATGTATTTCATTATCTAGCTGAAGTATTTTAAGTAAATTATAAGGGTATTATAATAATCTTAAAAATTTATTTCCACGTATGTCCAAGATGCTCTATTGTCACTCTGAGTGGAGGCAGATCTAGCCATAGTTAATTGCTTTCGTTTAGTTTTGTTTTCACACTATATCTTTAACTAACTCTTAAATCCATATGCTATTCTAAGTTGATTTATGTTGTCTCCTGACTTTCCTTTACCTGCTTAATATGCTACAATATTTGCAAACCTAACCAAACTTTGCAATTTACTAAGGAACTTTAAAATACTGCATATTTGTGGGTTTCACCATGGAGAATCTGGTTGAGAATTTTGGAAGATAACCCAAGAATCTGTATTTTAAAACTTTCCCCATTCTAAGACAGTCTGTATGCAAACAATTGTTGAAAAGGAATTAGACAGGACCATCTCTGTTTAAGGATGACCATTTGATGTAAGAAACAATATATCAAGAACTGAACTCTTTGCTTCCTTCCCTATTTTTCTGCATCAATGAATCTTAGTGCCCTATCATTCTCCTAATACCCCAGCACCTCAATCTGGAAGTCAGTTCGATCTTATTTTTTTCACTTGAAATTCACTAGTGCCAGTGCCTGCTGGTGGATCATTTTGATATTTGCAGCTGTCATCTTATTTAGACGCTTGTGCATGCCTGGTTCACTCTGTAACACATTTCATTGCCTGTAGTGTCTCTTGCCACTCTGTGACAACTGAGGAAAAATTTCTTACAATAACAATGCTATATTGCCTGCATTTCCAATATATTCTTCTTGAGTTTTCTCCAATCACTGAATTTTTATTTTGTAATCAGATCATGTAGGAAAACATTGGATGTCAGATAATCGGTTAACACATTAATTTGTTTAAATCTTAAAAGTGGTATTTTTACTTTCTGGAATGCCCTTTCTATCAATATTAATAACCAGACATCCAGACTGACCTCATTTAGCTATAATCACATGTCAACTATGTAGAGGATTATACTTCGATTTGTTTGTTGCTAACTTCATCGGCATGAGAGGACAATCAAGGTGACACATGACACATAGATGACCAAATTACCAAAGCTCTGAAACAGTCTACCAATGGCAAAACTGCAGCTCTCATTTTTGTTTTTAATCTTTTTATACCACTGTGCTGTTCAATACAGTAGTCACTAGTCCTATGTGGCTCTTTAAGTTTAAATTAAGTAAAAGTAAATGTATGTAAAACTTGAGTTCCTCCGTTACATTAGTTACATTTAAGTGCTCAAGAGCCTCACGTGGCTATTAGCTGCAGTATTGGGCAGCTCAGATTATATTTCCAACATTGCAGAAAGTTTTACTGGATAGTTCCACTGTGGAGTCCCTCTGGAAGTCTCAAGGTGGGAAGAGACTCACATTTCCAATATCAACAAACCTACTCGCCTTTCTCCCTGCTATGTTGACTTCCCTAATGGCTTTCTGCAGTTTGGGGGTTTCTACATTGTGTTGAGGCTTCTTCTACTACTTCACCTTGTATGCACATGCTTCTGTGTTTGACAAAGACTTTCTCTGTCACTGGTGTCAAAAGTTGCACACATACACACATTTATTTAAGTTAAACAAAATAAACTCTTTATTTTGAGATGAATGCAGATTCATATGCAGTTGTAAGAAATAATACAAAGAGATCCCATGTATCTTTTACTCCAGTGGTTCCCAAATTTTTGGGACCAGGGACTGGTTTCGTGAAAGACAATTTTTCCATTGATTGCAGGGGCAGAGGTTTTGGGGATGTTTCAAGTACACACTACATTTATCATCAGATTATTAGATTCTTATAAGGAGCACACAACCTAGATCCCCTGCATGCATGCACAGTTCACAATAGGGTTTCTGCTCCTAGGAGAATCTAATGCCCGCTGATCTGATGAAAGGTGAAGCTCAGCTTTGCTGGCTGTTCAGCTGCTCACCTCCTGCTGTGCGGCCAGCACCAGTCTGTGGCCCAGGGGTTGCAGACCCCTGCTTTACTCAACTTCCCTCAATGATAAGGTCTTACAAAACTGTAATACAATATTACAACCAGGATATTGACATTGTTACAGTCAAGAGACAAAATATTTATATCATCACATCACCCATGTTGCTTTTTTATAGCCATACCTTCTTCTTAACTCCTTTCAAATTTAAGTTCAGAATCCATTTTGAGTCAATATTTGTGTGTGTATAATGTGAAGTTTAGTACACTTGACTCTTGAACAAATGGTTTGAATTTTGTGGGTCCACTTATATGCAGATTTTTAAAAATAAATATATTGGAGATTTTTTTGGAGATTTGAAACAATTTGAAAAAACTCACAACGTAGCCTAGAAATATTTAAGATAAAAACTAAGAAAATTAGGTATGTCATGAATCCATACAATATATGTAGCTACTAATCTATTTTATCGTATACTACCATAAAATATACACAAATCTATTATAAAAAGTTAACATTTTTCAAAACTTGCACATGCCTTTACAGACTGTTTATGGTGCTAGTCACAGTTGAGAGAAAGGTAAACACATGTAACAGATGCAGTGTTAAATCACAACTACATAAAATTAACTATAGTAATATTGTTCTACCATAATAATTTTGTAGCCCTGTTCTGTTGCTATTGTGATGAGCTCAAGTGTTGGAAGCATCCAATTAAAACACCCTGTTACACTAATCATCTCCTTTTGAGTACTCATCCTCTCCTACAAATTGTGAATTGCAGTAAAAAGTGAGCTCATTCTCGTGTACAAACGTTCCATCATAGTGCTATACCGTAAACCTTGAAAACAGCATGAGACCTACAAAGTGCTACTAATGATGCTATTGGTATTCCCAAAAAGTAAACAAAAGTCATAACATTGCAAGAAAAAGTTGAATTCCTTGATATGTACCATAGATTGAGGTCTGCAGCCATGGCTGCCCACCATTTCAGACAGATCTTATAAACAAATGATGTAAACTTATGGTATCAATAAATGCAATACTATGAATGCATTTTCTATTCCTTATGATTTTCTTAGTGACATTTTCTTTTCGCTAGCTTATTTTATTGTAAAAATACGGTATGTAATACACATAACATACAAAATATGTGTTAATTGACTTTATGTTATTGGGAATGCTTCCAGTCAACAGTAGCCTATTAGTAGTTAAGTTTTGGGAAAGACAGATGCTGTAACATGGATTTTTGACTGCACAAGGCCAGTGCCCTTAACCCCTACATTGTTTAAGGGTAACCAGTACTAGGTTAATTATTTTAATTTTATGGATGTCCAATTTTTCCAGTACTTTGTTGTTGTTCTTTAAAAAGCTTGCTTTTGAATTGCTTTTGCAAATTTGTCAAAAATCAGATGGGCTTATTTCTGTGGCGCTGTTTTTGGGGGAGTACATTTTCTTCCTTTAATACGTATATCTATTCCTCTGCCACTAACTATACAGTTCTGATTACTGTAGTTAAATAATATGTCTTGACTTGGGTAGTTGAATTCCTACCTCCTTTGGTCTTCTTTTACGAAATTGTTTTAGCGTGTCTAGTTCCTTTGTCTTTCCATATGCAATTCAGAATGATCTCATCTATACCTACAAAAAATTTACAAAAATGTTGATAAGAATTGCATTGACCTGTATATCAATTTGAGGAAAATTGACATCTTTACGTTGTTGAGACTTTCAATGAATGAAAACAGTATGTCTTTCCATTCCATTTGTTAAGATCATTAATTTCTCACATCAACATCTTTTAGTTTTCAGCATACAAGTTCTGTACATGTTCTATTACACTGATGACTAAGTATTTCATTTTTTGAGCAATCACAAATATTTTATTTTGAATTTCATTATCCACAGGTTCATAGCTAGTTTCAGAAATAAAACTGATTTTTGAATATTATTCTAGTATTCTACAACTTTGGTGAACTCACTTAATAGTTCTAATAGTGTTTTGTTTTGTTTTTTTAGATTCCTTTGGATTTTCTGTGTAGATAATTATGTCATTTGGAAACAGGGACTGTTTTATTTTTTCCTTTCCAAGGTGTATGATTTTTATTTTATTTTCTTGCTTTATTGCACTGGCTAAAATTTCTAGGACTATTTGCATAAGAGTGGTTAGAGTGGATAGCCTGGACTTGTTTCTGATCTTAGGGAGAAAACATTCAGGTTTTGACCACCAAGTATAATTTTATCTGTAAAGTTTTTGTTTTTGTTTTGCTTGTTTGTTTTATAGATTATCCTTACCAATTTAAGCAATTTCTCTGTACTCCTAGTTTTTCTGAGAGTTTTTTGTTTTTTTCTTTTGAGACAGAGTCTCACTCTGTCACCCAGGCTGCAGTGCAGTGGCGCAATCTCGGCTCACTGCAACCTCTGCTTACTGGGTTTCCTGCCTCAGCCTCCTGAGTAACTGGGATTACAGGTGTCTGCCATTGTGCCCGGCTAATTTTTGTCTTTTTAGTAGAGATGGAGTTTCACCATATTGGCCAGGCTGGTCTCAAACTCCTGGCTTCAAGTGATCCACCTGCTTCGGTCTCACAAAGTGCTGGGATTACAGGTGTGAGCCACCACTCCCAGCGTAAGAGTTTGTTTTTTAAATAAATAGGTGTAAAATTTTGTTAAATGATTTTTCTGCATCAACTGAAATGATCATTTGCACCTGCTGCCATACCTTTTTTTAGCCTGTTAATGTAGTAGATTACATTGATTGCTTTGTTGATATTGATCCAGCCTTGTATTCCTGGCATTAACCACACTTGGTCATGGTGTATAATTCTTTTTATATATTGCTAGATTCTATTTGCTAAATTTCTGTGAAGGATTTTTGTCTATATTAATGAATTGGTTTATTTTATTTATTTGTTTATTTTTTTGATGTGTGCTGTCTGTCTGGTTTGGGTATAATGGCAATACTAGCTTCACTAGCTAAATTGGTGAGTATTCCCCCTTCCATGTTCTGAAAGAGATTATCTAGAATTGTTGAAAATATTTCCTTAGAAGTTTGGCAGATTGTTTCCAGTGAAACAATCAGGGCCTGGAGATTTCTTTTTTGGGAGTTTTATAATATGAATTAAATTTCCTTAATAGTTATCGGACTGAACAAGTTATCTATTTCATACTGGATGAGAAGTAGTATATTTTGTTGGTTTTTTCTCTTTTGGAGGAACTGGTTTATTTCAACTAAATTGTCAAATTATGTGGTAAAATTGATTCCCTTATTACATTTTTGATGTCTGAATGTTCTGTAGTGCTATCCTCTTATTGATAATTTGTGTCTTTTCTCATTTTTTCTTTTTCAGAGTTGCTAGTATTTTATCAATTTTATTGATATTTTCAAAGAATCTTCTCTTTGCTTCATTGATTTTCTTTATTTTTTTCTGTTTCTTTTTCCATATTCTTGAATTATGAGCTTAGATTACTGATTTGAGGCTATTGCTCTTTTCTAATATCACCATTCAGTGCTAAAAGTTATCCTCTCAGTACTGCCTTAGCTATGTCCTACAACTTTGATATGTTGTATTTTCATTTTTATTAAGTTCAGTGTGTGTATATAAATATATGTATGTGTATGTGTATGTATATAGGTATAAATATGTATTATATGCATATATAAAATTTTTTTTCTTATTTTTGCCTCATGGATTATTTGGAGGTGTTGTGTTTCATTTTCAAGTGTTTGGGGAATTTCTTGGTATCTTTCTGTTATTGATTTTTAGTTTAATTCATTGTGGTCATAGAATATTATGATTCAATTATTTTAAATTTGTTGAGATTTGTTTTATGGCACAGGATATCTCAGCATATGTTATTGTGGGTACTTGAAACCAATGTGTATTTTGCTGTTGTTAGGTAAAGTGTTCTATAAAGGAAGATTTGATTATGTTGTTTGATGATGTTGTGGAGTTCTTCTATATCCTTACAGGTAATCTGTCTAGTTCTTCTATCAGTTGTTGAAAGAGGGGTGTTGAAGACTCCAACTGTAATTGTTGATTTGTCTATTTCTCTTTTTAGTTAGAGCAGTTTCTGCTTTACATATTTCTCAGCCCTGTTCTTTGGTTGATGTATACATATTTGGGATTCCTTATCTTCCTGGTAGATTGACACTTTTATCATTATGTAATGTTTTTCTCTGCCTCTAGTAATTTCATTTGCTCTAAATTTTACTTCATTTGGTATTGATATTGCTGCTTCTGCTTTCTGTTGATAAATATTCACATGATATATCATTTTCCATCCATCTTCTTTCAATCTACCTATTTCATTTGAAGTGAGTCATAGCATGTCTTTGGGTTATGTTTTTTAATCCACTCTACCAATCTTTGTTTTTAAAAAAACGTATTTAAATCAGGTACGTTTAATGTAACTATTGATATGGCAAAGCTTACATCTCCTGTTTTATTTTTAATTTTCTGTTTGTTCTCTGTTTTTTGTTTCTTTGACACTGCTACAGCAGGAAGCAGTGTCTCATTATTGCCAAGTAGGATAAAAATCCCAGGTTTCTCTTTCAGGCTCTGTGACACTTTAGGAAGTGAGGATTCTTATTATGTGAAATGGGAGTGCTGACCCCTCACTATGACTTCATTGACACTAGCCATGTTGGGAGGGGTACGAGCATTGCCTTATTACTGGGCCTCTCTTGGCCACCCCTTACATCATGCGGCTGGGAAGTGCCTGATTGTGCTGGGCACAAGTCCCTGATTTTTCAGTAGATCCTCTGACATCACCTCAGTGGGAAGGAGAAAGGACATATCAGTGCTTACGAATGGGAGTGGAAGTCCAGGCTCTCCTCCTGATTTCCCTGACAGGGGTTGGGGAACTGTTATTGCCTTCAAAAGATGTAAGACCCAGCTCTTTACTCTGCCTTTTCTGACACCACCCAAGCAAAAAATGGGGGAGTGACTTGTTACAGCCTGGCAAAGAGCGAGGCCTAAGTTCTCTATTCAGCCTTTATTGGTGTGGGTGGGCATAGAGACAATGGTGTTTTGTTTTGCTTTGTTTTGTTCTGTTTTTCTGTGATGTTTGGCTAGATTAGAATGGTTATTGCTTAACAGGTTTTCTGTTGTTGTTGTATAGGATGTTCCTTTCCTAGCCCTTTGGCTAAAGAGAACAGGCTTTTGTTGAGGGTTTTCTTGGTCTGTGTCCACTGGCATTTCCAGGTTGTCAGCTTTTTCAGCTTCAAATCTGGAACATATGATGGTAGGAAAATGTATGTCTACTCCATCTTCCCAGAAATGAAAGTCCTAGCTGAAGCCTTTGAATAAAACTTTACTGTAAGTTTGAGATTAATATGCCTGGAACTCCGCAAATACAGACAGCCCCCAACTTAGTAGTTTGATTTACGATGGTGCAAAAGCAGAATGCATTTAGTAGAAAATGTACTTTTAATTTTGGTCTTCTCCTGGTCCCACAATATGTAGTGTGATACTCTCTTTGGATGTCGGGCAGTGGCAGTGAGCTGCCACTCCCAGTCAGTTACATGATCATGAAGGCAAACAACTGATACTCTATAGTGCACTGTGTTGCTAGATGATTTTACCCAGCTGTGGGGTGCTTTACGCGTTCTGAGCATGTCTAAGGTAGTTTAGGCTAAGCTATGATGTTCAATAGGTTATATGTATTAAGTGCATTTTCAACTTAAGATATTTTTAACTTATGATGGGTTTATTTGGATGTAACCCTATGGTAAGTTGAGGAACATCAATACTTGTTGACTAGCTTAATAAATATCAATACTCATTGAATAGTTTAATAAATATCATACATATATACTTCAGAACCCAGAAGCTTAGACCCTTTCTTTTAATGTCTTGCAATGTTCATTCATAGTTATTATCACTTTGCAATCGTATATTTGTATAATTATTTGATTAATATATTTTCTTCTAACACATTAAAATTTCATAAAGGTTCAGAAAACATCATTTGCTCACCAATATATCAGTAGTACATAGCACTGTTATTCTGTTTGGCATATATCATATATTTAATTAATTAGTTGCATAGATTTTTAAAAGTCAACACATAAGCAAATGAAGTTTATGTATTTTTCATGGATCCTCTCTGAAAAGCTAGATTCTACCCTTGCCTGGTATAATAGTTACTTCTCAGCCAACCACTATATGAAAAACAACAGCTTATCGTCTCCATTAAGAGTGCTCCTGAACCATTCCTCTCAACCCTTTAAATTATGACAGATACATCTATACACAATATGAATATTTGTTTGGCACACTGGGAATAAATAGACAAGGCAGCTTGTAGCCAGATATCACCAGCCAAAGCTATGAGTCATCCCATATCCACCTGAGCTGGTCACTTTAAGCAATGAGAAATTCAATATGTTGGCACATCTGTAACCAATTTGTGGCACACCAGAGTTCATTTGTGGAAGGTTGGGAAATGCTGATCTTGAAGGTGTCTTTATCCCCAATCTAAGTCCATCTTCTCCATTCCTTTTTTCTTTTCCTCAGAAATATTGGCAAAGAAAATACCAATTTTTATTAAGGGAAAACAAAGCCCCATCCATAGGAGGACACTGCCCTGCATCTTGATCAAGACAATCCCACCAGCATATGATAGTATTGTATTACACTGGATTATTCAGTCTTAAACATCATGTAAAATAATAATGGTAAAATAATAATAGTTGATATTTATTAAGCCCTAAATAGATGCCAGGGGCGGGGCTATGCACGTAAAATAATTTTATTTGATGCTCAAAAAAGCCATTTGAGGTAATATTATTTTCCTTATGTTAAAGATAACGAAGTTGAGGCACTATCTTTATTTTACAGGTGAAGTAATTACCTGAGGTCACAAATCTATTAAATGGAGATTCTGGATTTGAACTTGACTGTAGAGAAGGCATTCTCATCTGTGACTTTTAACTAGTTAAATGCCTAGGAATGAATGAAGAAAGAAAATTGTGTGTGTGTGTGTGTGTGTTTAATAGTAATTCCTTCAGTGGAGATAAACATCAGTCTTGAAATTTCATTCTACAGTCTCAGACTCAGCAACAGACCTCTTAACTTTGGTGTTTCAAATAAAAATATACATTTTTCCTCGATAAGACAATGTAAAATTTACAGGCATAGCATAGTCTAATTTAAATAATGAAATATACATGCCTTTCCCTCACCTTTTAGGTTAGGCACTGTTAGCTGTTCGCTAACTATATCTGTTCTCCGTTTCTTCTGTAGTATCAGAGTTTCAGCTAAAGATGATATTGTGTAGCTTTCTTGAATCTTAATGTGGCCACTTGATTAAGTTTGGGCCAATAGGTTGTGAGGTGTTTCATGTGTCAAATATCTATTGCAGCTACTAAAATGAATGGAATGTTTTCTCTTCTCCATTTCTCTTTCTCACTAGCTGAAATTCAGACTTGATGGTAGGAGATAGAGCAGTCATCTTAGAACGTAAGATGGGAGATCTGTTGAAGAAAGCAACATAAAAAGTCCTAGATCCTATGATAATTCAATAGAAACCTTGTCTACTTCTCACTAGATTGCTGGTTGAGAGAGAGAAATAAGCATTTTCTTTTGTTGTTTAAGCAACTGTTTGGGGATTTATTTTAGCAGTGGAACTAGGTTTTTCTTTGGTGGGGATGAGTTCATAACCAACTCTTCTATCTACTACTTTGTATCCCAAATAATCAAACATATCAGTTGATATTATAGAGAAATTACTTGCCTAAGTACAGCTGCATTCAAATCAATTGTCTCAAAGTTTTCCCAAGAATACAATGGCTTATATAACTAAAAGAATTCTTTAGGATTTTCCCCCTAGAAGAAAGAAAGGAACAGTCTTTAGAAAAGAGTACCTACATCTCCTTTTCTATAGCACAGAAAACTTTTTTCTTTCTTGGCTACTGAGTTCTATCAAAAGTAAAAAATAAATAAATAAATAAATAAATAAATAAAATAAAAATAAAAATCTTAGTAGCCTTAGCCAAAGCTCTTTGTGCCTGGCATTAGTGTCTACTAGCTTATCAGTTTTTGTTCTTTATATATTTGTGTGTCCCTTCTGTCTCCAGCTACCTAGAATGTAAGTTTCTCAAGAAAAGGGATCTTTTGGCTTTTATTGGTTATTTCTTTGTGTGTATATCTTTTGATAATATCTGGTTTTGTGCTCTGAAATGGATAATATTAGATCTTCAGTAGATGATAGAAATTGTTCAATAAGAGTGATTATTGAGTATTTTTAAATATTATATCTCTCAGTTCAATTTGTTATGAAACTTTATGCATTGGTTTCAAACATACGGAAATATGGGGAGAGTGAGCTCATCCACCAAAGGGCAATTTAATTTTTTAGAATCTTTAGAATTTATTTATTTTAAAATTTCTCAGTGACTCTTTTGAGCATAAAGTTTTAAAATATTTGTCATTCTTCAAAGTAAATGATAATGAAATTCTATCTGTTTTGGACTTGATCTGCTAAGAAAAGCATTCAAAGAGAAAATTTGACTGCAAAAATAAACTATTAAGTAGCATAACTATACAATGATGTACATCAGTATTTGTTTTAGAATTTTTAGTTATTGAATAAAACTATAGACACTATATGTAGCTAGCTTATACTGAATAGTGCACTTTATAAATGAATATGATAAAATTTAATGTATTTTAAGAACAAACTAAATCATTAATCTATCTTTATTCTTTCGATTAAAGACTTCAATAAAACAGAAAACGAAGGAAGAAAAAGCAAAGCTAAAAAAGATATAAGGAAGAAAATCTAAAGTATAAATCAAGTACAATATTTTACAAATATAAGGAGTGTGAGTTACAACACTGCATTTCCACCCAAATGTAAATATTGGAGATTTTCCTCATATTATCAATGCATTTCTGGGACTCCAGGATTCCATTCTGTTACAAATGATTAACCTTATTGAAAAGAACATTCAAATGCTGTGCAACTAATATGAGACTGATACAATTTTTTCACTTAAGTAAAAACCTCACTGCCAAATAAACATAAAATGAATGTGCAAATGATTTTTAACTCATTAAGTGAGGGAATCATTGAGGTGTTAAATCCAGTTCAAACACACATGCATACACACAAGCAAAAGTAAAATCAGAAATGCCAAAATGAATTACAGTATAGTTAAACCTGATTATCAACCTCAAACATATAATGTTAGTGTATCTTTTCTACAAGGCATAGATCAATTACATATCTACTGGAAAAAATCATTTTATTGCAGTGGAAAATAATTGTTTATATTACTATGGATAATAATTTACATTTCTATTAATTTTCTACAAGGCAGTATAAGCTGTATACCTCTGTAGAATCAGATAATTCCCAAAATGTCTGCTAGACAATATCTAGCTCTCTACTGAGAGGATATGTAGTAATCTTTTTTGTACTTTTCAAGTCTTGGACAACTTTTTTCCTGACAAGCTTTAACAAAGTCTTGAAACATGATATTTAGTAAAGGGTTAACTCAGCAGGCTTTGGGTGTTCAAACTTTATGTACATTCCAAAGAAAGGACTGGTCTTGACTGGCTCCTTAGAGATACCTTATAAACCCTTGGATCATCCTGTCCAATGAGTGTTTTGTATACTTTGGACCTTTGGCCACTCTAACATCTGTTAGCATGGATAGCTCATGCTAACAAGGTGATTTTTGGTGGATGTCTGTTTTTTTAGTTTTGTTTGTTTTGTTTTTCACCTGAGGTCCTTGGCCACACTGTATGAGTTTGACCTCTAAGGGGGTGCTGCATATTTAGTAGTTAAGGTCAGTTGTGTGTGCACTCCATGCCTTTGTGATCAACCTCCAGTAAAATCCCAGGACCCCAAGGCTCAGGTAAACTTTCCTTGTTAGCAACAGTTTGTACATGTTGTCACTCATCACTGCTGGGAGAATGATGCCCTGTCCATGTGACTCCACTGGGAGAGGACAATTGGAAACCTGTGCCTGATTTCTCTTGGGCTCTGCCCTATGCACCTTTTTCACTGGCTCATTTTAATCTGTATTGTTTCTCTGAGTAAACTGTAACCATGAGTATAACAGCTTTTCTGACTTCTATGAGTCCTAATCAATCATTAACCTGAGAGTGGATATGCGGACCTTTGATACATATGGATAAACATAATTTTGCTGGACGTTCAGGTAAGTGTTGATGGAGGCCTTCAACAAACAGAACTGAGAGGCTGAGACACTGATCTTGTATCTTCAGGTTGATTTAGTATTTGTTAGGATGGTCATTTGTCATAATCTACAGTGACCGCTTCCTGAATCTGATCACAGGGGATGCTGAGTAGGGTATTTATAGAAATCTCTGGACTTCTGCACATGGTGTCTTCAAATCAGGCCCAACTCATCTTCTCCAGGATGCCTCTCTATTGAACTCACCTCTCTGCTTCCCTGGCACTCTCCCAGAAGATAGTCTAAGATTATTTTATTCCCTTTCAAACTAACTGCAAAGCATAAATTCTATGACCTTCCTCAAGACCTGGCTTTTACTTCTCTCAATAAGAAACAGCTCTTGTAAATCAAAAGCTTTGATTTTAAAACTTTTTTTTCTGATCTGGCACAAAGAGTAGATTTTGGAAGTAAAACACAGTATGCTTTATTTTTTCTCTTTGTACTAAAAAAAAATCCCAATTTTTTTTCAGCAGGGTGGTAAATTCCTTTATGTCATGCACTGTGCCCCCCTTGGTCTATAATCTACTATAGATCATCTTTCATTATTTGACTCTTATATTCATATGAAAAGATTTTGACAATTATGAAAAATATTGTTCAATTTTAATAAAGCCTATCTTGTCAAGACAATTATCTCCCTAAGTCTTCAAAATGTCTTTGAGTCTCAGAGCTAAACAATGACTAAAACTTCCTTTCTTTCCTGGGGAAATAATCCTTATGTCTTGGCTTTAATGGTAGAAGGGACACAGGGGAAGAATCCAGCTATTGATAAGGTATTATTTCCCTACATTTGCTGCTCAAATTTAAGACATTTGTACTTTTTCTACTGTAGGTTTTACTTTGACCATTGATTGGCAAAGCCAAATATTGCTAGTGTGAAACGGCTGGTTATTCCTCACACAAAGATTTTTAGTTTTCTGGCAGGCAACTTCCTTTGGACATCTCTGACAGCTACTATTTAGTCTTTCCTGGAACACTTAAGTACACATATTTTTGAGAAGCAGGATTCCATGTTCCACAACTCCAAGGATGCCATTCACATCCATGTAAGTTGTGGTTCCGGTAGTTTTATAATGGGCAACCTATGCAGTAAACAGTGGCCCTGAATACACTCCAATTGTTTGACAGCTTTGTTTGTTAGAAAGAACAGCTGTCTTCAAACATGTTAAGGCTTCTACGTAGAAGAGTTAAAATAATTGTTTTCTGTATGATTTCAAAGGCTAAACAACTGTTCTAGTGTGTACATCCCAGATAAGCACAGATAAAGGTTAATAAAATGAAGAAATTTTTAACAGTAAGAGCTGCTCAAAAGTAAAGCAGATCACCTTAAGATAAATGGAATTCCACCACTGAAGATGTTCAAATAAAATTTGGACACCTGCTTGATACAGATACTGTATGGGGACTCAGTTATCATAATACATTAATAGGATAAAAGAGTATTTAAATTTTCCTGCTGAGATGCAATGATTCGAGAGATCGTCAAAGTTGCTAGCACTTAGAGATGTAAATGAAATTCAAACTCATTTTATAACTGCCATTGGGTTATATACAATTGTGATTATTATCAAGTTAGAGTTTTATGCCTCAATTCAGACAGCTGACCTGGAATAAATGATTGAATGAGGGGTTCTGTATTCTTCTGCCAGATTTCATTTGACTAAGCCTTTGGGAGTAAATTAGCCCAATTTAAGGATTAAAATCTTTAAAAATATTAGCCAAGGGTGCTTAAAGAAAGCAAGATAAGTCATAGTGCTGGACTGGGCTGGGCATAATTAATACCTGGCATGCCATCTTCAACTGATGGATAGTCACCTAGAACTCGATGTTGAGGATTATTAGGTCATATCTGGATTCAACTCAAAATATACCTTGTATGATTAGTGATGAGAGGGACAAATGGTAGAATATACTGCACATATTTGCTGTCTCTGTCATGGAGACTACTCGGTATGTTATTTAGGTAGAATGCATAGAATTCATCTCCTGGGGCTGGGTGGGGTGGCTGACACCTGTAATCTCAGCACTTTGGGAGGCCGAGGTGGGTGGATCACTTGAAGTCAGGAGTTCAAGACTAGCCTGGCCAACAAGGTGAAACCCTGTCTCTACTAAAAATACAAAAATTATCTGGGCGTGGTGGTGAGTGCCTGTAATCCCAGCTACTTGGCAGGGTGAAGTAGGAGAATCACTTGAATGTAGGAGGTGGAGGTTGCAATGAGCAGAGTTTGCGCCACTGCACTCCAGCCTGGGCAACAGAGCAAAAAAAAAAAAAAAAAAAAAATTTACTCCCTAGGAGATTTCACCTGCTTATGGCTTTGGAACTGAGCTGTATAGGTCCAGCAACTCAAAGCATCCATGGTCAATTAGGATCAGCATTAACTCATACAACTCAGAAGAATATAAGGTAGAAATCAGAATGCCAGTACAATAACTTGCAATTAGAATTATTACTGTCAAGTTGATTAAAATTCCTGTGTCTTTTAGCTAGGGCACTCAGGCTGCTGTGTCATTGAGATAGATGAGTTAATAATACTAATTAAGACTTTGTGTATTAGGTTATAACTTTCCTTTTTCAGGATGTTGAAATTTTACTCTAACTTTCTAACTCCTTGAGACTACATCCTTGTTCCCTGCCTTGACTGTGATCATATGTTTGCACTTAATTCCTTCTGGAAGTGCTTCCAAAACTATCCGTGGTGAAGACCTAATTCATTTTCCTTTTCTGATCCATCATGAATTAGTACTTTGATAAAATACAATAAAAATGAGTTATAAAAATAAAATTTTAAAATGCACAATATAAGCACAATTTCAATTAATGACCTCCAAATGTCTTATTAAAAATTTTAAGCCTTTACTCTCAATTTCCTTTCTTTCTTTCTTTTTTTTCTTTTCTTTCTTTTCTTTTTTTTTTTTTTTTTTTTTTGAGATGGAGTCTTACTGTGTCACCCAGGCTGGAGTGCAGTGGTGCAATCTCAGCTCACTGCAACCTTCACCTCCTGGGTTCAAGTGATTCTCCTGCCTCAGCCTCCCCAGGTAGCTGGGATTACAGGCACCCACCACCATGACCGGCTAATTTTTGTATTTTTAGTAGAGACAGGTTTCACCATGTTGGCCAGGCTGGTCTTGAACTCCTAAACTCAGGTGATCCACCCACCTTGGCCTCCCAAAGTGCTGGGCTTACAGGCGTGAGCCACTGTGCCCAGTCTTTACTCTCAATTTCTAAACTATAATTCACAAGCAGAATAGCTAATGGAGTGTTTAATTAATGCTAACAAAGTTAGGGAAATAGATAATAACATGAAGCTTTATTTTGTATGTATTGTGCGAACACACTGTAATCCATTAGGGTCCCTGTATAATCAATGCAGTCAGTACATTTGTATTCATTAAATGGAAATAGAGAACAAGTTTATGGTTTTAAATGGCTATAGATGTCTATATTAAATTTATTTAACATTTAAGATATAAAATGTAGGCAGAGATGTTGATGTGTATAAAATGTACTTGAAACCAAGTCCTTCCTAAAACAATAAGCCAACTCCCAAAGCAATATTGTTTATACATGAAATTATGATATTATTTATGTCATTTTGAGGGTAAAAATTTGGGTGAAATATGGGAAATATTTGATCAATAATAGTATCAGAAGATGCACAGTCACTGATTTGTTCCACAATCATAGATAAGTGTTCTGTGGATACACAGGAGGGATATTTATTTCATACACACACCCTCAAATCCCTTTGCTCTGATAATGTTTACTCAATGAGCCACAATGATGACTTCTATCATGACAACCACTTGTAAGCCCTCTTAGTACAGTTTTATTTAATCTATTAAATTAATAAATTTACCATTAAACAAATACGTTTTTAGCTAATGCACGAAACAGTGATTTATTCTTCTTCTATCACTGAAACTTAGTCACCTGAATTTCTTACACATCACTCAGAGTGACTGAAATGTTGTTCTTTTCTGGGTTTTGGTCCTAGTACTTATTTAATCTGATTTTATTTATTTATTTATTTATTTTTGGCTCTCAGGCCCCAGCATTTCCAATCTGTAGGAACTTTTATTGCTTCCCCATGTTCAGATGTTTTAAGTAAGACTCACCAACATTTCCTACAGTCTTTTGCATATTTCAGTCTTTAGGCTTGACTTCCTGGATAATACTTAAACCCCCAATTCACGAGAAAAATCCTATATTCTTAGAGGTTAGGGAGATTTTACCTTAGTTCTTAGCACAGCCATAACTTTTCTTATTATGTAATCCCAATGCCTTGCCTTCTTAATACTGATATTTTGGGGATGAGAGAGTCTCTATGGCCTGGAAAGATCATTTCCTAGCATTTCTCAGATGTACCTTTAGTGCTATATCTAGTGTCCAACTGGGAGTATCCACCCTTAGTAAAGCTGAAAGCTTGCTTTTTCGTGTCTACTTATATGTACCCTGCATTAAAATATCATGCTCACTTATTTTTAGACACATTCTTCATAGAGTGGGAATGACATTGTCTCTGCCTTACAGGAAATGCAGACCATCTCTTTGTGGAAGACTGGCCATATAAATGTCTATTGCAACCATGGCCTCTTTTGAACTTCATTCCTGTGGTCGCCTATCTAGAGGTTCATTTGGAAAATTGAATTTATCACCATAATGGTCTCAATGCCACATCAACTGCCATGTCTAGGTACACAATTGCCAATAAAATAGTTTTACACTTAAACATTTCCTTTAGAGGGATGCTCCTTCTTGATAATTTGTGCTATCCTGAAGCAAAAAATAATCACACCTATTTATAATGAGCAAAGTTGCATCTCCACTGGCAACCCCAGTGGATATGGTTCTATCAGACACTATCAGCCATACTTTGCAGATATAATTTCCTAGCTTATAAAAATATATCTCAGATGGTCACATGAGCTCCCTCTTTATGCAAACTTAACTAGTAGAGATTCATATTATAGAACCACTACCCTCATTACTCCTTGTCTAGAGAATTCACAACATAGTCAGCTTGTATATACTTCACTTGTATATTTGATATCAAACATACCAAATAAAGATATAACCCATGCAAAAACCTTTGACTTGACCATGCTTTAAACTCCTTATGTAGAAGGACCACTATTATGTTCACAACAATTAATTGTCATTTTACAATGACACAAAATTATAACAACATTCACTAATCATCTAATAAGTGATAAAAAAAACTGTTTTACTAGCTGTGGGGGAGGTATACATATAGTTAAGATAATGTCTCTTCTCTAGGAAATCATAATAAATTGCAAAATATACATAACACTCCAATTGAAAGAGTGATAATAATCACATAAGGCTTTAATGGAGATACGCATGAAGTGCTATCAGAGCACAGAGGAGAGAATTAATTCTTACTTAGGTGTAGGGATCAAGGAAGGCTTTGAAGAAAATGATAAATATGGGCTGAAGCTTTGGAATTGGTTGGACTTTGACAAGTTAATAAGGATGTAAAGGGATGGGTGGCCTGGTGTAGTGGCAGGGGGTGGTAGGGCAGGCAGTAATGGAGGGAGAGTGCATTTGAGTAAAGGGGAGAAACATCCAATGCAGTTTCCTATTTGCTGACTGTCACACGTTTTTAACTTTGTAGGGAAGATGGAAGAAAATCTATTGAACCAATTGTTTTGGCTGTTCTGATGTGATCACAGCATTGCTTATATGGATTGTCAAACAAGGGATGAGCTCATAAAAGGATATTAATGTGTCGTTTTTATTGAGCAAAGTAGCATTACAGAAAAGGTGATTTCAAAGGCACATGGCTCTTTCATTACAGCCTTCAGGGGCAATGTTTGATCACTGAAAACAGGCTGCTTTGTTCCAGCTTTCTCTGATGTTTGGCATTATTCTGAATACATATGCTTTGACTTGGATAGAATCAGTCTGTAAAGATTTAATAGATTCGAGATTTGCTTATTCAAAATACATGTTTTATGGTTAAAATGAAATGAAAGCCATTTTAATATGTATGTCTATATATACACAGATATATTTCAGACACATATCTCAGCAATTTTTTTAAAAGCAATTACACATATTATGTGTTTGTTTTGAGATAATGAAAGTTGGATATTTTTAAAATTCACCATTTTAACTTATCAAGAAGGAAAAAATATATTTTAAGACACATTATATTGGTGATAATAAAATACAAGATTTCCAGTTTTAGCGACTTAAGCTTTGCTATATGTCCCTGTCACCTATCATAGACATAACTTTCTAGCTTTCTAGTGCTGGACATCTCTGAACACTTTCTTTATTAAAAATGAGTTAACAGCTTTCTTGGTTGAAGAACATTGGAAGTCACGAAATATTAAAGAGAAATTACAAAAGATTATTATTTACATGATAGTCTTTTCCTTATGTGACTGAAAGAAGTGAGCTTTTTTCTTCCAAAAGGAAAGACTTGCTTGGAAAAAGACCTGAAGAGTCAAAAGCTTTTCTTGTGGTGACCAAGACTCATGAAATTTCTTTTTATAGAATTCTCTGGCTTCTATTCCATGTGAATTGATATGAAATCTCACATAAATTTATCTTTTTATTTTGAATTCCAATTGAACCTTTAAAAGAAAGATGACATTCCAACTCAGCCAATTTGATATACATTACATTTACAATTAGATAATCAGTGCACTGAAATTAAGCCCAACAGACTTCAGCTGAAATGGGCTACGTTAGATTATGTTCCATTTAATATGACAAAGAAAAATTTTACTATTTGCTTCTTTACTTAAAAGCCTTCCCTTTCCCTCTCTCCACTTATAACATCCTCTAACTCAATGATGCCCAGTGCTTTCTCTGCTTAACACATTTTCCCCTCTATGTTAGTTTTGCAACAATTTCAAACAGAGACTATATTGTTATCCATTTGTTGCCTAGGCCAATGTTTGCAAACCTTAATGTCCTTATAAATCATCTAGGGATCTTGTTAAAAACACAGGTTCTGATTCAGTAGGTCTGGGGTCTAAGATTCTAACAAGCTCTCAGGTGATGTGGTGGACCAAGGTTTGTATAGCAAACACTTAGAGTACAAATGACCTGTCCTTAAATGTGTTTTTGGACCATGATAACTGGAAATGTAGATTCTGTGACTTTGTGGTTGCTTCATACTTTAAATTGCTTTTTTATTTATTGATAATGAATCAATAATGAATGCTCTGAACCATCAGGACTCCCTCTACTTCCCTAGTCTCTGTTTTTACCACTTCCTCCTTCTTACTTACATTTTAGACATAACAAAGTACTTGAAGTTTCCAGAATGTATCAGGCTCTTTCACATCTCAGTGCCTTTTCAAATACTATTTCCTCTGCCTGTCCTGGTGTCCTGTGACTCTTCCTTTAAAACTCAAATCTGCAGTCATCTCCTCCAGGAATCCTTCTCTAATCTCTTTTTCATGTAATTGCATAATTAAATGCCTTCAGTATACTCCCACATTGCCCTGTATTTCCTTTATTACACCCTTCTCCTAATCTGTTGCAATTGTCTGCTTAATTGTTCTTTCCCTTCAAGACAATGCTTCTGGGGGGAATGAATAATGCATTTTATCTCTGATTCCTATTGCCAATCGCCAACATAGTAGGTTTTTTTTTTTAATCAAAGTTTGCTGAATGAATGAACAGGGGAAGTTGATGTGTTGTAGTCATACAAGAAAGTAATGCAATATTTCTTCTCATGAAGTTTAAAATTGAATTGGGAGTCATAAAAACTGAAACTCATAAAAAATTAAGTATAGGGTGAGATAATACTAAAGATATAAAATGTTAGTATGTGATTAATTGCCAAATGAGGATCATAGCAAATAACCATTCAGAGTCAATTGGGGGAAAAATGTCACTGTGGATTTATTAGTATTTTTAATACCTCAATTTGTTCCACAAAGGACTTGAGCCTGCTGATAACATTAAGCATTAAAGTTAACGAAAATATGAGCACATATGTAGTTAAGGGAATAGTATGAGACAAGGAGAGGGTTATGGAAATATGTACCGGAAGCTTGAGGAATGGATAGACTATCCTTAATATGTATTCTTTAGATGTATTCTTCTTGTCTGCAAAAATGCTTCTTGCTCAGATAAGGACAGTAATGTGGGTGTGCTGGATTTTCATACCCACTCTGCCTGGGAAGCTGACTTCTGTGGGGACATTAGTAGCTCGCTTGTCCTCTGGCTTCTGGCAGAATTTGGCTAATGGGATGCCTATGGAGAAGAGTGAGGTCAGGACATTTATTTTCTTTGGTTGCCTAGAACTGGCTGTGCCTCTTTTTAAAGATGGCCCCTATGATAAACTTCCTGAAATTATTCTAATTTGAGTGTGCCCTGTTACCTATTGGGACTCTGATATGACCTCAGAGTTGTTGTTTAGAGCTAGATTGGATACCAGGCTTACTAACTTTTCTGGCAACCATCAATACCATAAAAATGTTCTAGGTGCATGCTACATATCAGGAACAATTCTATGAGGAGGTGGTTCTACACAGAAAAATTCAGAAAACAAACAAGCAAACCTAAAACGCTGTGCTCATATACTTCACATGTAGTATGGCAAAGACAACGTAAATCATCTTGGAAGTCAGGAAAAACTGATATATATAAAAGCTCACAGCTCTATAATGTTTATTTATACTTGCCTTAAGTTAGTGTTGAATTGTAAAGCAATAATATGCCAGAGATATAGTTTTTGGGTTGTTTCCTTTTCACTGGGGGTAGATTATCCAGAATTTTTGCCTCTGCTCTTGGCTGTTGTTCATCTTGTGGTTATTTTACTCCTCACTGTCCTTCCATCAGGGAATATTAAAGGAAAATAAGTGAATGAAAACTTAGCTGTAGCATCTATGATAAAAGGTTTGTCAAGAAGACGATTGAAATACTGACTAAAATGAAGCTTTTCAGTTTATCTGGGTTGGTCTGCCCCCTATCGCCACAAAGATACTCAGAATGGTTTCTAGCTTGTCAAAAACCAAGAGATAAAAATGGGCAAAAAGTTTTACTTTCATGCTAATGAAGAGAACCAGATCTAATAAATAAATATGACCCTCTTAATGTGAAGCCCTGGTGTGCAGACCCTCTTTTTCATCTCCAATTGTATGACAACCTTGTTTGCAGTTGTTATTTAGATCATTTTTGAGTCATATGAGCTTAATTTTGTGACCCAGCAAAAACAGATCATAAATCTCAGTAGTGGAAGATACGTTTGTAGTTTGACCATGGTAAGATGAGCTGAGGGTGCTGAGGAAATCATAAATTCAATTTACAAAAATAACAAAAATAAGATTTATTTATATTTGGCCCAGTGAATAAAGTGAAAATCTAATATTTTTCTGGTCTATGCTGTACATTTTGCCAAGCTTGATTAAATTCCTGTTTAGCAGGTAGCTAAGAGAGGAACTGAATTAAAACACTTTATATTAAGCTTTTGAGTCTACTTTGTTTTTCACTGTTTTCTTTTTAAAAAGCTGTTTTAACTTTTCTTTCCTTTTAGGCTCTATTTATGAAATGTTTGGAAATGAATGCTGTTTTTCAACAGGAGAAGTGATTAAAATTACTGGTCTCAAAGTTAAGAAGATCATAGCTGAAATTTGTGAGCAGATTGAAGGTTGTGAGTCTCTACAGCCATTTGAACTGCCTATGAATTTTCCAGGTACAGCACATTGCAACCACTTATCATTTGTACAACTATATTGTTATTAATATGTATATATACACAACCAAAAACAAGAAAAAAATGGTCTGTTTTTCACTCTAGGATAATGGGGGGGAAAATCCGGAATTGTTATAGTTTGATCATTTTAAGAACGAATGGAAAGCAACTATTTTCTCCTTTTTTAAAGTGAAAGATGTTTATCTTGTACTTAAGAATTAATCTCTTTGGTTAACAAACATTTAGTGAGTTCCAACTATATACACACCACTAGTTGTGCTAAATAATGAGAACCAAGAAATCAAAGATATATTTTCATAAATTCTGTAGAACTAAGTAACATCATTTAAGCCTATCTACCCTCTTTGCTATTCCTACTGTCATTACTCTAGCTCCTTGGATCACCGTTGACCTTGCCTGTCTAATATTACTGAAAAGTCGGCCTGGTCTTTTTTATCTAATTGACTCTACTCAGCCCTCCAAAACTAGCTCAAATATCATGCCATCTAGAAGACTTTTGCTGACCCTCTAACCTAATCTAGATTTCTCTTTTATGTTCCCATAGTATGTTGGGCCTCATAACATACACCTCACTGGATAGTCATTGATGACTTTCTCATTTGCCATATTTTTTACACTAGGGGTTGGCAGACTTTTTCTATAAAGAGCCAAATAGTAAATCTTTTAGGTTTTGTGGCCAGAGGGTCTCTGTCACACCTATTTCACTATGCTATTTATGTGGTAGCACGAAAGCAGCTCTGGATAATACATAAACCAATGAGCATGGCTATGGCTCAATAAAACTTTATTTACAAAAACAGGTGACAAGCAGGATTTGACTCATCTACTGTAGTTTGCTGACCTCTGCTGTAGACTAAAACTCCTTGACATAAAATATGAACATGTGACTTTGTATTTCTGATACCAAGCACAATTTCTGGCACAGAGTGTGTGCTCAGGAATTGTTAACTGAATGAATGAATGAATGACCAGTGGAAGAGAAAAATCTCATAAATCTTAACAATATGATGTGTTTCATGGTTTGATGGAAGTATACTTGTGTTCTTTGTGGGGCTTGAAAAGGAATATCAGACTATAGTTGGTTGTGTTTCAGAACAGGGATTCTGCAGCCATTGTACTTGAATCCCAGCTCTGCCACTTCTTAGCTGAATAACTTTGACAAGTTATTTACCCTCCTTTCATGTAAAATGGGAATAATAATACTGTCTATCTCCTAGTGTTATTGGGAGGGCTACGTATTGAAATATATTTAGTGTTTAGAAAGGTACATGGCATATAGAAAGGTGCATAAAAAAGTGTCAGCTTTTGTTACCATTATTAAGATATTATTACTGTCATTGGAGGAGTCAGGAAAAGCTTTTTAGGGAATGTTTTAATTGGGCTGAGGTTGGAAGAATGAAAATATATTAGCTATATTGAAGTGAGGATTTTTTCAAGTGCTCTAGTATTCAGTCCCCTTTCAAATGAAACTTTCCACATTGTTCAATTCTATTTCTTTCTTACTCATCTTTTATAACAATGATTCTCAAATTTGGCTGCACATTAGAATCACTTAGGGAGCTTTAAAAAATTCTGATGTTCAGGCCACTTACATGAGATATTCTGATTTGTTTGCTCTGTGGCAAAGTCTGGTCATCAAGGTTTCTTAAAGCTCCCAGTGTGATACTAATGAGCAGCCAGTGTTGAGAACCATTACTTTATAAGATGCCTCTCTTAAGTACTCTAATTAGATGTAACAATTCCCTTTTTAAATCACTATAGTTTTTCGTGCCTTAATCATTGCATTTATCACATTTTGCATGTAATTGAGGCTATTTGTGTACTTGTCTGACTACCACCATCTGTCTAATAGATCACAAGTTTGCTGAGGCAGAATCTGAATCTTATTTATTACAATAATCCCCATGGTATTTAGAAAAAGATGCACATAATAAATATTTAGTAAGTTAAAATGACTAGAATCTTTGGTAGAAGGAATTTTTCTTATTAGAATAGTGAAAACACTTAGTTTTTGGCTAACAGTTTAATTTGGGGAGTTGCTATTTAGAATATTCTTTTGAACTTCCAATTAGCATGATAATCTTGCATCTATTAAGTGACAATTTGAAAATGATGTTTATAAAACAGTTTTATTGTAAAGGACAGAGTGAAAATGGAAAGGTAAAGTGATTGGCACTGGTCAGGGTATAGTTTCTTTCTTCAAAGAGAACTCCTAGATAATGATGAAAGGGATCCCAGATACAGGGATAATTCTTCTACATCAGCACTAAGGAGAAAGATAGAAATCAAAGATACTAATGTTATTCAAAAATTTTAATAGCAGCATCTCTTTATTTATACTATTTTAAAACTATTTAAGTTCCCAATTAGATTTTTGACTTAAAAAGTCAAATGGTATTTTAAAACATTCTTCCTCATTTGTAAATTTCCCAAAATTTCCTTTTGCTATTGATTTCTAATTTTATTCTATTATAGTCAGATGACATATTTTGTATGACTCAATCCTTTTAAATGTATTGAGACTTGTTTTTTTTGGACTAATATATGATCTAGAGTATGTTCTGTATTCACTTGAGAAGAATATATTTTCTATTTTTGTTGGGTAAGTGTTCTACAGATGTCTGTTGGTTTATGTGTATTGTTCAAGTCTTCTATTTCTTTGTGTATCTTCTTTCTAGTTTTAGTCATTGTTGAAAGTGAAGTGTTGATGTTTCCAGCTACTATTGTTGAATTGTTTATTTTCCCTTCAATTCTGTCAGCTTTTGCTTCATGTATTTGCAGGCTCTGATGGTAGGGGTATATGTATTTGTAATTGTTATCTCTTGTTGATGGAGTGACCCTTTTATCATTATATAATATTCTTTGACTCTAGTAGCAATTTTTGTTTTAAAGTCTATTTTGTCTGGTATTAGTATAGTCACTCCAGTTTTCTTTCAGTTAATATTTGCAAGGTCTCTCATCTTTTATTCTTTTACTTTCAAACTACAGACAGTCCCCGACGTATGATGACATGATTATAATTTTTCAGCTTTACCATGATGCAAAAGCAATATGCATTCCATAGAAAGCATACATCAAATTTTGAATTTTGCTTTTACTAACTGCAGGCTAATGTAAGTGTTCTGAGCACATTTAAGGTAGGTTGTGTTTTCAACTCCTTTGGGTAAATACCAAGGAGTGTGATTATTGGACTGTATAGTAAGAGTATGTTTAGTTTAAAGAAACTGCCAAACTATATTCCAAAGTAGCTGTACAATTTTGCATTCCCAAAAACAATAAATGAGAGTTTCTTTTGTTCCACATCCTCACCAGCATTTTGCTTTGTCAATATTTTGGATTTTGGACATTTTATAAGTAGACGCCTATGGTATATCATTGTTTTAATTTGCAATGCCCTGATGGCATGTATTCAGGATATGCTTCTCATATGCTTGTTTGCTATCAGTACATCTTCTTTGGTGAGGTGTCTGTTCAAGTCTTTTGCTCATTTTTTTAAAAATTGAGTTCTTGTTTTTCTTGTTATGTTTTAAGAATTCTTTACATATTTGGGGTAACAGTCTTTATCAGATTTGACTCTTGCAAATATTTTCTCCCATTCCGTGGCCTGTCTTCTCATTCTTTTGAGAGATTCCAAGGCTGTCTTTGATTTTCAACCATTTGATCATCACATGTCTAGGCATGAATCTTTGAGTTTAGTCTACTTGAAGTGTATTAAGTTTCTTGAATGTGTAGATTGTTTTTCATCAAATTTTGAAAGTTTTTGCCATTTTTTAAAAATATATTCTTTCTATACCTCTCTCTCTCTGCTCTCCTTTTAGGAATCCTATTATTCTTATATTCTTATGCTTTAAGGTGACCCATAGGTGTTTGAGACTTTGTTCTTTTCTTTATACTTTTTTTCCTCTGCCCCTGAATGTATAATCTCAATTGCATTTTCTTCACATTTGATTTACGTTATCTATTTGGTAAGATATTATTCTCATACTTTTGTTCTAGTTATGTAGACACGATTTTCTTTAGTTCTTTGTATATATTTTAAATAGCTAATTTAAGTTTTTCTTCTCTAGTAAGTCTGATATCTGGGCTTTCTTAGAGACAGGTTATGTTATTATTATTATTATTATTTCCATAGATTCAGGGTTACAAGTAGTTTTTGATTACATGGATAAGTTCTTTAGTGGTGATTTCTGAGATTTTAGTGCACCCACCAACAAAGCAGTGAACACTCTACCCAATATGTAGTCTTTTAATCCCTCACCCCCTTCCAACCTTCCCCGCTAAGTCCCCAAATTCCATTTATCACTCTTATGCCTTTGTGTCCTCATAGCTTAGCTCCTACTTGTAAGTGAGAAAATATGATATTTTGTTTTTCATTCCTGAGTTATTGCAGTTAAAATAATTGCATCCAACTCCATCCAAGTTGCTGCAAAAGACATTATTTCATTTCTTTTTACAGATGAGTAATATTCCATGGTGTATATATACTACATTTTTTAATCCATTTGTTGGTTGATGGACAGTTAGGTCAGTTCCATATCTTTGCAATTGTGAATTGTGCTGTTATAAACATGTGTATGCATGTGTCTTTTTCATACAATGACTTTTTTTCCTTTGAGTAGATATGCAGTAATGGAATTGCCAGATTGTTCTACTTTTGGTTATTTAAGGACTCTCCATACTGTTTTCCATAGTGGTTGTACTAATTTATATTCTCACCAGCAGTCTAAAAGTGTTTCCTTTTCATGAGATTTATGCCAACATCTATCATCTATTGTTTTTTGACTTTTTTATTATGGCTATTCTTTCAGGAGTAAGGTGGTATCTCATTGTGGTTTTAATTTGCATTTCCCTGATTATTAGTTATGTTGGGCATTTTTCATATGTTTGTTGTTCATATGTGTATAGTCTTTTGAGAAATAGCTGTTCATGTCATTTGCCCACTTGTTGGTGGGATTATTAGTTTTCTTCTTGCTTATTTGTTTGAGTTCCTTATAGATTCTAGATACTAGTCCTTGGTTGGATGCATAGTTTGCAAATATTTTCTCCCACTTTGTGGGTTGTCTGTTTACTCTGCTGCTTATTTCTTTTGCTGTGTGGAAACTCTTCAGTTTAATTAGGTCCCATTTATTTATTTTTGTGGCATTTGCTTTTGGTGTCTTAGTCATGAATTATTTGCCTAAGCTCATTTCCAGAATAATTTTTCTGATGTTATCTTCCAAAACTTTATGGTTTCAGGTCTTATATATCAACCTTTGACCCATCTTGAGTTGATTTTTGTATAACATGAGAAATGGGGATCAAGTTTCATTCTTGTACATGTGGCTTGACAGTTTTTCTAGCACCATTTATTGAATATTATATTGTTTCCCTAATTTACGTTTTTGTATGCTTTGTTGATGATCACCTGACTGTAAGTATGTGGCTTTATTTTTGGGTTCTGTATTCTGTTCCATTGGTCTATGTGCATATTTTCATACAAGTACTATGTTGTTTTGGTGACTATAGCCTTGTAGTATAATTTGAAATTCTGTGAAGAAAGTCATTGGTAGCTTGATGGGGATGGCATCTACTTTAAAGTTCATATGGTACCAAAAAAGAGCCCGCATTGCCAAGTCAATCCTAAGCCAAAAGAACAAAGCTGGAGGCATCACGCTACCTGACTTCAAACTATACTACAAGGCTACAGTAACCAAAACAGCATGGGACTGGTACCAAAACAGTGATATAGACCAATGGAACGGAACAGAGCCTTCAGAAATAATGCCGCATATCTACAACTATCTGATCTTTGACAAACCTGACAAAAACAAGAAATGGGGAAAGGATTCCCTATTTAATAAATGGTGCTGGGAAAACTGGCTAGCCATATGTAGAAAGCTGAAACTGGATCCCTTCCTTACACCTTATACAAAAATTAATTCAAGATGGAGTAAAGACTTAAATGTTAGACCTAAAACCATAAAAACCCTAGAAGAAAACCTAGGCAATATCATTCAGGACATAGGCATGGGCAAGGACTTCATGTCTAAAACAACAAAAGCAATGGCAACAAAAGCCAAAATTGACAAATGGGATCTAATTAAACTAAAGAGCTTCTGCACAGCAAAAGAAACTACCATCAGAGTGAACAGGGAACCGACAAAATGGGAGGAAATTTTTGCAATCTACTCATCTGACAAAGGGCTAATATGCAGAATCTACGATGAATTCAAACAAATTTACAAGAAAAAAACAAACAATCCCATCAAAAAGTGGGCAAGGGATATGAACAGACACTTCTCAAAAGAAGACATTTATGCAGTCAACAGACATGTGAAAAAATGTTCATCATCACTGGCCATCAGAGGAATGCAAATCAAAACCACAATGAGATACCATCTCACACCAGTTAGAATGGCGATCATTAAAAAGTCAGGAAACAACAGGGGCTGGAGAGGATGTGGAGAAATAGGAACACTTTTACACTGTTGGTGGGACTGTAAACTAGTTCAACCATTGTGGAAGACAGTGTGGCGATTCTTCAGGGATCTAGAACTAGAAATACCATTTGACCCAGCCATCTCATTACTGGGTATATACCCAAAGGATTATAAATCATGCTGCTATAAAGACATATGCACACGTATGTTTATTGCAGCACTATTCACAAGAGCAAAGAGTTGGAACCAACCCAAATGTCCAACAATGGTAGACTGGATTAAGAAAATGTGGCACATATACACCATGGAATACTATGCAGCTATAAAAAATGATGAGTTCATGTCCTTTGTAGGGACATGGATGAAGCTGGAAACCATCATTCTCAGCAAACTATCACAAGGACAAAAAAACCAAACACCGCATGTTCTCATTCATAGGTGGGAATTGAACAATGAGAACACATGGACACAGGAAGGGGAACATCACACACACACCGGGGCCTGTTGTGGGGTGGGGGGGAGGGGGGAGGGATAGCATTAGGAGATATACCTAATGTTAAATGACGAGTTAATGGGTGCAGCACACCAACATGGCACACGTGTACATATGTAACCAACCTGCACATTGTGCACATGTACCCTAAAACTTAAAGTATAATAAAATAATAATGATAATAATAATAATAATAATAATAATAATTTGAAATTGAGTAACGTGATCCCTCCAGATCTGTTCTTTTTGGTTAGTATTGCTTTGGCTCTGTGGGCTCTTTTTGGTTCCATAAAAATTTTAGGATTGCTTTTTCTAATTCTGTAAAGAATGATGCTGGTATTTTGATGGGAATTGCATTGAATCCGTAGATTCCTTTGGGCAGTGTGGTCATTTTCACAATATTGACTCTTCCCATCTGTGAGCATGGGATGTGTTTCCATTTGTTTGTGTTACTGATGATTTCTTTCAGCAGTGTGTTTTAGTTTTTCTTATAAAGTTCTTTCACCTCCTTGGTTAAAATATAAGGTTGGTTTTTGTTTTTGTTTAGGTTTCTTTTGCAGCTATTGTGAAGGGATTGCGTTCTTGATTTGATTCTCAGTTTGGTCATTGTTGATTTAAAGCAGTGCTACTGATTTGTGTACATTGATTTTGTAACCTGAGACTTTGCTAAATTTGTTTATCAGATCTGGGAGCTTTTTGGATGAGTCTTTAGGTTTTTCTAGATGTACGATGATATCATTGGCAAATATCAACAGTTTGACTTCCTCTTTTCCAATTTGGATGCCCTTTATTTCTTTCTCTGGTCTAATTGCTGTGGCTAGGACTTCCAGTACTATGTTAAAGAGAAGTGGTGAAAGTTGGCATCCTTGTCTTATTCCAGTTCTCAGTGGGAATGCTTTCAACTTTTCCCCATTCAGTATGATGTTGGCTGTGGGTTTGTCATATGTGGCTTTTATTACTTTGAGCTAAGTCCCTTCTATACCTATTTTTTTGAGCGTTTCTATCATAAAGAGATGCTGAATTTTATCAAATGCTTTTTCCGCATCTATTGAGACAATTATGTGATTTCTGTTTTTAATTCTGTTTATGTGATGTATCACATTTATTTACTTGGGTTAAACTATCTCTGCATCCCTGGGATGAAACTCATGTGATAATGATGTATTATCTTTTTGATTTGCTATTAGATTTAGTTAGCTAATATTTAGTTGAGGATTTTTGCAACTATATTCAGGGATTTTTGTCTGTAGCTTTCTTTTTTTTTGTTAAGGCCTTTCCTGGTTTGGGTGTTAGGATGATACTGGCTACATAGAATGTTTAGGGAGGATTCTATGTTTCTCTATTTTTTTGGAATAGTTTCAGTAGGATTGGTTGTAATTCTTCTTGGAATGTCTAGTAGAATTCAGCTGTGAATCTATCTGGCCCTGGGCTTTTTTTGGTTGGCAATTTTTAAATTACTGGTTCAATCTCACTGCTTGTTATTGGTCTGCTCATGGTTTCCATTTCTTTGTGATTTAATCTAGGAGGATTGTATGCTTCCAGGTATTTATCCAATTCCTCTAGATTTTCTAGTTTGTTCACATAAAGGTGTTCATAGCAGTTTTGAATGATATTTTGTATTTATGTGGTATTGGTTGTAATATCTCCAATTTCATTTCTAATTGAGCTTATTTAAATCTTCTCTCTTTTTTTCTTGGTGAATCTCACTCTGCAGGAACAGCTTCTATTGATTGCTTGCCCTCTCCCACTGTGTACAGGTCATACTTTCTTGTTCCTTTGCCTTCTCATAATTTTTGTTTGAAACTGGATGTTTTAAATGCTATAATGTGGCAATTGTATAATCAAATTGTTTCCTTTTTCCAGGGCTTGCTGTTATTGGTAGTTGTTTGTTTAGTGAATTTTCTGAACTAAATCTGTAAAGTCTGCATTCTCCATCATGTGTGGCCACAGAAGTCCCTGCTTAGTTAGCTTAGTGGACAACTGATGTCTGAACAGAGATTTACTTACACAGTTGAAACCATGTTTTCAGTATGTGTTGAAGGGCTCTGTTGTTCATTTGGGAACATTCTGTCAACACTCAGTCAGGTAATTGAAAATTCTAGCTTAGCCTTGAATTTGGGCTCAGGTAGAGCCTCAGTTAGCCAGAATTGAGAGGTGAGGGCTTTTGTGGGTCTTTCTTGCGTATGCAAACAGTCCTGGGCATGTGTTTAAAATTACTCATGTGACTTTCTGGATTCTTAGGAATATGTTGGAACTTTTCAATTTTTTTTATGGAAATCTCATTTCCCAGCTATTCTTTTTAAGTTTTTGGGTTAGCCTATTATTTTTTTTCCCATCACTGCAGGTAGCCACAAAAGTTAAACAATTTTCTTTTATTATTTTTGGCAAGTGCTCTGAGAAAAGCCTTTCCCCAATAATGAGTTCAAAATGAGATCAAAGAGACAACCATGCAAGTGTGATCTTCCAGAGAGCCACCAGATATGTCAAATAATAACAATTCTCTGGGATTGAGCTTTGAAGATACTTCAACCTCTTACTGCTTTCTCCTATGACTGTCAAGTTGATTATTTTTTCGTGATTACAGGTTGTTAGTTTTCAAGGTTACTGTGGACCTGAGTGTCGGGGAGGAGAGAATGGGAATACAAGTTAAAGTGCCACAAAGTTTGCTGTTCTTACCAAGATTCAGCCATTTTTCTTCAATAAATGCTTCCCAGGTTGCTCCAATTATTTGGTTAATTTTTCGACTTTTGAAAAAAATTGACCTGCTCTTCTGTATTAAAGTATGTAAACTCATATATCCTCAAATTTATCCAATAATTTAAAAGTATTGAAGATGACAATACCTTGGCAAGAGTGCCCAGAATTACTTCTTTGTAAATAAAGAAAATCTACTGAGGAAAGATACCCAGCCTTTGACCAATAAACATAGCTTTGTAGATGCAGCTTCAGCAAATGCAAGCTCAAGAAAAAGTCAAGAGGGTAAAGATTTGCAGAGTTTGACAAGCACACTTTCAGGGGATATACTGGAGCCTTTTTTTTTTTTACTAAAATTTGAATGGGGATCTGAACTCCAAATATATGCACCACTGGTTTCATCCTATATTAATATTTTATTTCCATATGTCTCTTTTGACACCTCAAAAATGTTCAATTATTTTAAAAGAAATAATAAGCAATCATTTCAGTAATGAATGAAACAAAACATACTGCTTTTAGAAAACACTCTTTCTAGCTGAAGTATTTTATGAGCTAGAAAACATGCCAATCTTGCCAAAAGCAACAAAAATATATCCTATTCGGTAGTTGATTACATTATCTCCATAGATTGGTAAATCATGTCATGTGTGGTTTATAGTGAAGTTCCAAATTTCTGGATTACCTCCTGGAAAGATTTGTCCCTCTTTCAGAGTGTTATGGAGCATGAATAATAAACATATTCTCTTAGTCATGAGAAATAGCCTGAGAGTGTTTCAATACCATTTTTATGAAGAACATAGATTTTTTTTTTTCCCAAACAGCAAGTTCACATTTTCTCCAAATGATATGGTGAAGGAAGACTGTAGTTGCATCTATAAAACCACCCTTAAAATTATAAGGCCAGATAAAGACATTTTTCTGTTTTAATATTTAGACTATACTCTATGAATTTTGTTGCTGTATAGGAATTTTGTTTCGGGAGGTAGCAGACATGAAGGAAATGTTTGAGATGGAACATCCTCTACTACCCTTTACCCTATCCTGTCCATAACACACACTCAAATGAAGATACCAAAGATGTACCAGACATTGTTCTTAATATTTTTACATATAAAACTTTTCTAAACACTTTTATGTATATATAAATTACTAATTGAATTCAGACTTTACAGATGAGAAAACAGAATCACCAAGTAATTTGCCCCAAATCACATAGCAAGTGGTTACGCTGAGTCTGCCCTAGCACTGTCCAATAAAAATATAATATGAACCTCATATGTGATTTCAAATGTTCAATATCCACATTTACTACTTACATATATCTGCATAGTAAGTTGTGTCTAAATTTGGCAACTTAAAACAACATTTCTCACATAATTTATGAGGTTGAGGAATCGGGAGTGCTTTAGATGCTATAGTTCTGCCTCAGGGTCTTTCATGGAGTTGCAGTGAAGCCGTAGGCAGGGAATGGAGTCTCTGAAGATTTGACTGTGATTTGGAGATCTATTATCAAGTTCATTCACATGGCTGTTCTGGGAGGCTTCAATTCTTTACCACATGGTCCTCTCCATAGGGTTCTCACTGACTTAGTGGTCTGAGAGTGGAAACAAGCCCAAGACTGAAACCAGTCTTCTATGGCCTAATCTCAGAAGTGACATACCATCACTTCTACCATACCCTTTTGATCACACAGATCAATGCTAGTGCAATCTGGGAGGGCACTGAACAAGGGTGTGACTACCAGGAGGGAGAAATAACTGGGCACCATCTTGGAGGCTACCTAGCACAGATATCTTTCTTTAAAAATTAAAGAAAGGTGACATTAATTTTAATATGTTTTATTTAAAATGTGTATCTAGGATATTATACTTTCAACAACTTATTGATATAAAATTATCGAAATATTTTACATCTTTTCATGCTAACCCTTTAAAATCTGATATATATTTTCCACTTATAGTACATCTCAATTTAGACTGTCCAAATTCAAGTAGCCACATTTCAAGTGCTCAGCACAATGGCTACGTTAATGGTACAGTATTGGAAATAACAGATATGAACAGTATGTATAGGTCCAGATTTGTGTTCTGAAGCACTTCTTGCTTAATCATAGAAAAAAAAAAAGAGGTGATATTTTTGTCAATCAACGTTAATGCCATAATAAGGAATTTTTCTACTATATGCAGTAGCATTGTAATGTTAAAAAGATTTGAACTAATATCACTCCTAGAACAAGAGGAAACAGAAATTTTTAGATGAATGTTAGAAAATTTACTAAATTCACTAAATAGAAAATTTCTTTCATATGTTTCATAGATTTAAACCATGTATTAAAAACAAGCTTTGGGACGTGCTTCCTACTTAAATTAATTTCTACCAGATAAAAGGATTTCATCTATCAAGTTGTCAGGAAACTCTTAAGTAGCCAGGAAGCTACTAGGGTGATACCACCCTTCCATGAATTACATCACTAAGGAGACAGTGAGCCCGAGTTGCACAGCAGGCAGGATAAACTTCATGTCTCAGAGGTTGTCTTTGACCCCCAAGACCCCCAAAGTGACACAGGGGGTTGCTGAACACATAATTGGGGAACCCTGAGCTTACAAACCCCAAATAAGGGGTTGCTGGCGAACTGCCAACTTTTGCCCTCCAAGAAAAATTATATTTATTACCTTGGAATGTAAAATAATTCCTTTGAGGTGAGGAGAAAGACTTTTCTATCCTAGAATGTCTCTGGGGAGGGAGACATTCTCTTATCATTTTTATACTAGTTGAAAAGAAACCTGCTACCTCTAGCTCCCAAGGCGTATAGAAATGCTACGGAGAATTCTCTTCCAACATGACTATATCCCTTAAGCCGTAAGACTTAAAAAAATCATTTTTATTGGACATGTGAAAAATTCAGAAAAGTATTAAAATAACTGATGACAGAAATTGAATTAATAGAATTGTTTCTGTAAGAAATTAATTAAGGCTAAATGGCTAAAATTTATAAAATCTGCTCCTTTATGCCTGGGTACCAAATATGTGATACATTAACATTGTTAATTCTAACACATTAACAATGACCATTGTTTCATTTGGAGAATTATATACTCCATTAACAGAAAATATGTATTACATTCAATCGTCATTCATTGTATTTTCATCTACTATTGAAATGATCAATCTTTCATCTTTATTTTATTATTGTAGCTGATTTTTTTATTTGATTAAAATATAAGTTTCTAAAGGACCTGATAGGAAAATTATTATGCAAAAAATATATACATTTGCTAGCTTTAAATAACCTTTCCATCTTCTGTTTTTTAGGGACTTTTGTTAAAAGAAGCAAGGAATGTAAGTCAGAAGTTGCTACTGTTTTTCCATCTGGATGTTATGATAAAACATGACTCAGAGCAGCCCTAAATAGAGCTCCTGCCTTTTAGATAATTCGCTATCCAAGGAATCAGGGGCTATTTTTCCAAATTTTCTGGGTCAACTTCTCTTAAGGTACTATTTCCCACTGTGCTCACTTAAGCAAAGTAAACTCAGCTGTGTCTACCTTACAACATCTTTTCTTTGACAAAAAGGGGTATTTTGTATAAACTATGCAAGAAAATGTGAATTAATCAGCATGCAAAAGAAATTCAGGCTTTTAAAATAATTTTAAGATCTATTTCTTGGTCTATTTTTTTTTCTCTTGCTTTTTAGTTCATGATCAGATTATTTCTCTGCATCCTTGGTCTTTGGATAACTACCATGTATATTAGCCAAAAGACAAACAGCTTTTGCAGTTCTAGGTTAAAATGATTCTGTTACTCATCTATGTGCATTGTAATATCAGATCAGAATTCTGTCAGAAAGATCATTTTAAAGGAGGCTGTTCCACAGCTGGTGCTGTTCTATAAGTTTTCTTGGTATTAATGTTTTATCTCCATCTTCTAAAATCTATCTCATCACTCATTGTCCTTACCATCCGTCTTTCTTACCGGCACAATTCTAAAAGCTTTTTATGATGCTACCTTAACAGTACCAGCAGGGAAGGATTCTCATGAGAGGAACTAGATTGCCCTTAAACAATTGGATCTTCTGTTTCTTGCATCTTAACTGAACGTTGGTAGAGAACATTTCTATAATTATACACAGTTACATTTTGGGGATTTAGAGGTTTTGCCACTGGAATGCAAGCAGAGTTTCCCTATACTTCCTGACCCCCAACATGCCATATATGGCAGCCTCCCCCACCATCAATGTACAACACTAGAGTGGTACATTTGTTGCAAGTAGTGAACCTTCATTGACACATCATCTTCACTCAAAGTTCACAGTTTATATTTGGGTTCATTTTTGGTGTTGTACATTCTATGGGTTTTGATAAATGTAGAATGACACATATCCACTTTGATAGTGTCATACAAAATAGTTTCACCACCCTAAAAATCCTTTGTGCTCCGCCTACTCATTCCCCTCTCTCCTCTAATCCGTGGTAACCACTGATCCTTTTCCTGTCTCCATATTTTGCCTTTTTCAGAGCGTCATATAGTTGGAATCATATAGTATGTAGCCTTTAAAGATTGACTTCTTTCACCTACTAATACATATTTAAGGTTCTTACATGGCTTTTCATGATGTAATAAGTCATTTATTTTTAGTGCTGAGTAATATTTCATTGTCTGGATGTACCACAGTTTATCCATTCACCTACTGAAGGGCATAGTTATTACTTCCAAGCCTTGGCAATTACGAATAAGGCTGCTATAAACATTCATGTGCAGGATTTTGTGTGAAGATAAAGAACCCGAGTTTTTAAAGCTATAAGATGTATTTATTTTTCTGTTTTACAAGTAACACATGCATGTTGTAGAAAATTAGAAAATGGGAGAAAATTCAGGAAAGTAAATAAAACTCACTATAATATCATCACCAGACTCATCTAGCATTAATATTAGATACATTTGTTTCTGTTGTTTTCCAGTACATTGTACACATGCATACATATAGACACATGTTTTAGCATAATGGGAAAAAATCTTATTCTGAGGACTTGCCTGTGTCATTAAATATTCTTCAAGGCATAATTTTTATTTTCTAGGTAATAGTCCCTCACATGCATATTCCATAATGTATTCAATCCATCCTGAACATGGCCATTTATACAATTTGTACTGTGATGAACAGCCTTTTAAACTAACATTTTGTCTGCATTTCTGATTATTATAATAATCTTATATACATAGAAGTAAAAATGTTTTTAAAGATCTGATACATATTGTCAATCACATTTCATAAAGGCTCTGCTAATTTGCATTCCAACTAGGAACTTTTGAGGGGGCCAATCTAACTGCTTTTTTGAGGGTGTGACTTAACTGTTTGTCTTTCCCATCTCATTTTTTTGAGTTAATAGCATTATAACAATTTCCACATAACAACATTCACCTGATTAAAATATACAATTTAATGGCTTTTAGTGTCCCTGTCTCCATTTTTTTAGAAACATGAAATTTTAAATCTTCAACATCCTTGAAAATGGCAGGGCCTGACAGACCTGGCAGAGGGTCACACTGTCAACGATGCCCTGTAGTCAGGTAGGGGAACCAAGATGTGCAGTGCTTAGGTGAGTCATGCAAGGGAAGAGTTGTTCTTATAAGGGTGTTTGTTTTGACCTATTTAACTTCTTTCTAGAATTGCGAGTAAGTAAATATGGCCAGAAATTAATGAATTAAAAGACTTTTAGAAATGAGTTGTTAATTGGCTGGGCATAGTGGCTCATGCCTGTAATCCCAGCTCTTTGAAAGGCTTAGGTGGGAGGATGGCATGAACCCAGGAGTTCGAGGCCGCAGTGATCTGTGACTCCACCACTACACTCCAGCCTGGGTGAAAGCAAGACTCCATCTCAAACAAATTGAAAATTAAAAAAAGAGGTGGTAATCATTATTTGCAAATAGTAACATTACCCTGTAAAACAGAGTATCAAATGAGACAAAATATTGAAACTTGGTAAGATGACAAGATGAACAAATATGTAAAACAACTGTATGTACATAAAGGAATATATTCTTACATATAAGAATACATATAGTTATAATTTTCCATTTATAAACACTTAGAATATATAGGGGTAACATATTTTATAACTAACTCATTTATTTACTTAAAAAGTATTATACAAGTTTACTTATTTATTAAAAAATAGACGTGCTTGAATCAGAAAACTGAATATTATAAATATATCAATTACATATGAATTAATTTATGTTCAACATAATGCAGAATAAAATTTCCATATTATAATCATAATTATTACTATGTTGCCTCTTGAGAGAGTAATTGTAAAAATCACTTGGGAGAATAAACAAGTGAACATATTCAAGCAAATATTTTAAAAATAGGATAATGAGGGAGTACTTGTCCTGCCAACATTAATGTCTGATACAAAGTTATAATAAATGGTACTATATGTTGCTTACAGAAAATCAAAAACTGCATCAATAAATTACTTTTACAATAGTGGTACTAGTTGTTATAGAAGCGTCACAGCAATGTTTTTAATTTGACTCTAGTGCCATGCACTTAAGCATTTGTTTATAGCTCAGAAACAGACTTTAATGCAGAGTATTATTTGCTGTTTGATAAAGTTTTTACTGCACATCTGGGTTTAAAGGAAGAATTATTTAGTAAATTGTTCTAGTATAGTTAATAATGTAGCAAACAGTAGATCAAATTGGATCATCAACATTATACCATAGCAAAAGAAATTTGAAATAGATGAAAACATCACATTTTAAGGAAAACTATCTTATGTCTATATTTGAAACAACTTTCAAGTTGCAAATATAATAGAAAACCATAAGGAAACAATATATTTGAATACATAAAATGAAACTTTCTGTCATAAAGTAAAAAAATGAGGAAGAAATGTTTAATAGCAAAGGAAGATAACTCAATTTTTAAAAGACTAAATGTCACTGAAATGGAAAACAGAAAAATCAATAAATATTCTAGTAGAACACTAATAGGAAAATGGACAAAGCTTAGAAGAAATTCAAATGGTTTATAATTGTGTAGAAATTAGTTTGTACTAACACAATAACAACTTTTCCACCTATATAGGTATCTAAGCTTTTGCATTTATGAAGTTGGGAAAAATATTGTCAAAGGGTCACTCTTAAACCTAACTGAGGAGTGTATCCTTCCTGAAAATAAATTTTGTAATAGATTGAGTAGCTTCTTTGAAAATACATGTAATATATTTTGAATTCCATCTACATCTTATGCATGTACAGAGATAATTATTGATGACACAGGTACATTTAGTCTTGGTTCTGCCATCCTGGAACCAGTACTGTGCTGAGAAAAGAGCCTTTATAATGTTTAAAGCTTTAACTCAGTGCTTCCACTTGTCGAATCAACTCCAAAGAAATAATCATTTTAGAATTATTTGTAATAGGAAAATAATAGAATCAACTTAAATGCCCAACAGTGAGGAATCGGGTAAATCATGATACATTCCTTACAACATATTATTCATCTATTAACAACTATATTTGTGAAAAATATTGTAAAGCATGAGGTTTATTCGGTTCAGTATTAAATGAGACAAGTAGGAGTCAAATGAAGTGTCTATAGTAGAGTTTCGACATTGTTTAAAACATTTTTATCTCTCTGTATATATATCAAGTTAAAAAATGTCAGAATTTTAAAAGCAGCTGTTTCAGTCCAGTGAGAATGAGTGATTTTAATTTTATTTTAAATTTGTTAAAATTTTTTTGAGAATATATATAGATATATATATATGCATACATATATACACATACTACACACACATGCACACAGAAACACAAACACACAAATAGAAATTTAGGCTGGGTTCCTTGGTGTGTTTTAGTGCTTTGATTTAACAATTTCCTCATATATAAAGTAGAGAAAACATTAATAGCATTTATCTTACAAAATTCTTCAGAGGATCAAATAAATTAAATGAGGAGATTAGCTTACGACAGACCATGGCACATAACATGTACTCAACAACAGTGTTAATATTGTTTTTCTCATTATTATTATCTTTTAAAAATTTTGGGGGGGCTCCTCTGTTTCATGAGCCCCGGCATGGGTAGGCCTTGAATTTTCTCATTGCAGCTCTATTCTTCCTATTATGAGGTAACTTCCTTCTGGCTTTTTGCAGTAGTTGGTCTATTATTCTTAGTTTTTGATGATATGGTAAGTTTTCATCGTTTTCTATCATTTTCTGTGTCTTTTTGTGTATACTTTATATTGGAAGGTCAGGGACGGCCATATCCAGGGCTGCCAGACAGCCAGCATTTAAACTCCTCTTAATCAAACACAAACCTTGGAAAACCCCAATTTGTTTATCTTCAGTGTCTAAAGTGATCAACAATAGCAGCTCCAAATGCTGTGCTCTTTCCTGGAAGTGACTGTCTGGGTCAATCTCTGAATAGTTTTGAGGCAGTTCCATAGGAGTTACTTGCACGAGACCCCCCAGTGCTCTGAAGAAATTCATCTCAGAGCTGTTCAGGTGTTCGTGCTGACCAGGTACCAGGTCAAAGCTTCCAGAGAGGACCGTCAGGGGCCAGTAAGCTCCTGTCCAAGTCAAATCCACTGGGAGAGTTGTGGGTTAGCCAGTTCATGAGCCCAGTGCTGATTTTAGGCAGGATTTTCAAATTCATGCTGTTGAAGTTAGTTTTATTGCCTAGTAATATGGAACCAAAAGAATGTGTTTAGAGAGAAAATGCTCCTTTTTATATACTGGTGAATTTAGAAAAACAAAAATTCAGTTTTCTTTATTGTGCAAATCAAAATCTATTTAAATCCTAAGCCCTGACATTCATTTAATACTTATGGTTACATTGGGAAATTATAGCTCTTTCTAATTTGAATTTAATGTAAACTGATTTTTAATTGTTTTGTATAACCATGGGTAACAGATTTTTTTGAACACTGCATGATAAAAATCAGCAAATATGTCAGACAAAGCACAATGTTACAAGGAAACACCACAGCATATGTTGACAGTTATAGAAGAATTGCTGCTGTTTTCACCCTTCACACCAGAATAATTTCTTCAATATTTACCTCCCATGTGTAGAGAGAGAAACATATGGGGCTTTACATAATCATAAGCATAAACAGGTGGCTACTTAGGTACATTTAATTTGCAGGCAACATCAATACTGAACAACACAATCAGCTCCACATGGCTCCCAAACTCTTTCTACTAACATTCCATTAACAAAATTAAGATCATTAAAATAGAGGGAGGGTATAGTCCTCCCTCAACTGGCTTCAGCTACCTTTCAGAGTCATGAATAAAACACTTTTTCAAAAATGCCTTGGCATTTTGCTGTTTTCTTTGTTCAAGGGAACTTCAGTAACTGTGTATAATGTATACCTTGTGAATAACAACGAGCAGCATAATATTTGCATTTAAAATGTGCTTACATCTTTTATTCTCCCTCTAATCTGCTCATTATGGGCATAAAATTATGATGGTTAAATTCTAAGTAATTTATCAAAGCATGGGGTCGGACAAGCTCCTCAAAGCAACCTGGAAATATTTCTCCAAAGGCAGTCCACCTAAAGAGGTCACCTGAGGCTCATTTCCATATTCAAACATGCTGGTGAAATCTGTGGAAATTATCATTCCTGGAAATTTTTGCTCAATCTGTGCCAGATGCTGAGCTGTAGATTCCATATATTTTGTTATCTCGATTTTGATCCAGGCTAGAATATCTAATTTGTCCTCGTTGGCATTGAAATTACATAGGTACCAATTTTTCTGACCTTATAACCATCCTACAATGGCTTAGAATCCCAGGGTAAAGGCAAATGAGGAGACTTAATAACCACTATGTTTTTAATCATTTGGTGCTTACTAGCTGTTAAGTACTACCTAATCATGTTACCTGTATTAGCTTATTTAATCACCACAATGACTTTATGTGGTAGATGATATAATTTTTCTCATTTTATGAAAAATGAAATTGTAGCCCTGAGACTTTAAATTCTGAAGTATACATGTTAAGGAAGGGGCTGAGGCCAGAATTAAAACCCAGGCTAATAGGAATTGTCAAGCCATAATCTTAACCACCCCACTCTAGTTGTGTTCCCTTTATCCTGAAAGTTCTACTGCCCAAAATCACCTAGGGCCTGGGAATCCTGAAAATTCTACCTAAAATCACCTAGGGCTAGGAACAGCAAATATGTGGTATTGTGAAGATCCTCTTAACAATGCTTTGTGAGAGGTTTGGGGGTGCCTAAGGTCTGTGGAGGTTCTTTCTAGCCCTGATACCTCTATGTGTCTTCTCAAAACACAAGGAACAGTGCTCTGCAGAACTAATGAGCATCTAGGGAGCTGTGTTGCCATCAAGGTTATGAAAATAACAATTTCTCACATTCTCTCTCCTCATCGTAGGTCTATTACTCACTCTCGCTGCCTGGGAGAGAGAAAGTTTTAACATGAACAAGTGTATGTATGACGTGCGGCACATTTATTAATAAGCTGTGACTACAATAAAGCTTTAGGCCTAGATATCAGATTATATCATTTGATCTTAAGAGCTAACATTATTAATATGTAATTTGTTAAGCATCCCAAATGTGTTAGGTTTTGCAGTCACTCCTTTCAAGGAGTTTAAATGTTACTGGGAAAGTTTATTTGTTTTCCCCATGCAATGGTTGAACCAAAGAGGTAAAAATGAATTGAAAGATTTTATGATATATTCTTTTACCTCTGCAGGTAAAAGCAATATGAAAAACTATTAATAGCTACTGCAGACAGTTTCAATTCAATTATTATTATTATTACTATTATTGTTTTGTGATGGAGTCTCACTCTGTTGCCCAGGCTGGAGTGCAGTGACATGTTCTTTGCTCACTACAACCTTCATCTCCTAGGTTCAAGCGATTCTCCTACCTCAGCCTTCTTAGCAGCTGGGACTACAGGCACGCACCACCACGCCCAGCTTTTTTTTTTTTTTTTTTTTGTATTTTTAGTGGAGACGGGGTTTCATCATGTTGGCCAGGCTGGCCTTGAACTCCTGACCTCAAATGATTTGTCCCCGCTTGGCCTCCCAAAGTACTGGGATTACAGGCGTGACTCACCACGCCTGGCCCCAAATCAATTATTAATGTAAAGACATTTGAACACAGGCATTCTATAGTCTCACTTAGTTTCCCTCAACATTTTAAGAAACTTCCTCACCATCTTAGACATATGTTCTGCCCTCCCAAATACTCAGTTAAATTACTGTGTATCATTTCTTTATCACACACTTTAACTTCCCCCACATTGCTTATTTCTGCTCTTGAAGACTCTTCTTTGAAGATTGTTGGAGTCACTCATTAGTTGATGATGTTCAGTGATCTATAATTGACACCAAAATCTGGAGACTCTTCTCAGTTCAGACTATTATTATTTTATATTCCAATACTTTGAGGATTTTGAACTTTTTGCTTTGATAGATTTATAGAATATACCAACTTAAACATCCTTGTTATTATATATTTGTCATATATATTTCTCATTTCACATGTTTCTTGTGGCTTTTCTATCACTGTGTTACATTCCCAAGACAAATTTTAGGTTGGTATATTCTACAAATGTATATTTTTTAAGACTACCCCAAATCCAGTGTTTCCATTAGAAGTTCTAGCTCAAGTATCTCTATTCATCTTTAGATTGAAATGGTGTGCATGAAATAACCTATCAAAGCCTTCAAAGTAGGACCAGAGATTATTATTGTTCTTCTCACACCATGGCATCTGGGGAAGGCTGATCCATGTAAAGAGAGGGCTGGCTGGTGAGACCCATAAACATGTTATTCTCATGAGCAATGTCCTTGTAAGTCATACATGCAACAGGGAGGCAAGACTGGCTTGGTGGCAGGATGCAAACCTTGGATGTCAAAGCTCAGATTGAGATTCCAGAGCTATGACTACCAGTTGTAAAAATTGTAACTATTTTCATATCCCCCTATAGTAATAATATTTCTTTCATTGTCCTCAAAAGATTATTGTAAGGATAAAGGATGCATATGAAAAAGTTTTCAAACTTGTAAATTTCTAAACAAATTTCAGTTGTTGCAATTACTGTTAATAACAACTGCAAATCATTAAGAATGGGTTAAAAATATAAACTCACTCAAAACCTAAGATTCAAGGAAAAGACTTGAAAGACTACATTCATTTATTAATTAATTTTTAGCAGGTCAATCTATTACATTTCCCATGATTTATGTTAGTTAAGTGACGTGTTTTTTTTAATGAACAATGTCTCCTAATTCAAAAATAACAATAAAATTTATTTTGAGAACTAACAGGCCAGGTGTGATGGCTCACACCTGTAATCCCAGCACTTTGGGAGGCTGAGGCGGGCAGATCACCTGAGGTCAGGAGTTCAAGACCAGCTTGGCCAACATGGCGAAACCCTGTCTCTATTAAAAATACAAAAATTAACTGAGTATGGTGGTGCACACCTGTAATCCCAGCTACTCAGGAGGCTGAGGCAGGAGAATCACTTGAACCTGGGAGTCGGAGTTTGCAGTGAGCCGAAATTGTACCACTGCACTCCAGCCTGGGAGACAGAGCAAGACTCCATCTCAAAAAAAAAAAAAAAAAAAAAAAAGATCTGACAATCCTAGGTGGAAATAGACATCTATTTTCATGTGTTAACTTGTTTTATAAAGGTTGCATATTGGCTTATTTTAATAACTTGATTACTCAAGTCTTGGAATGTGTCTTGTCTTTCTTTGGAAGAATAACAAAGCATATTTTTCCCAGTATAAAACGATTGTACACTTTGAGAAAAAGATGAAAAAAAAGTTGGTCACATTTAGATCTAATCAGTCCCAGTGGTGCTTTAGTTTATATTTAACTTTCTTCATTGTGAAACTGAAATTCCAATATGGCATCATATTAAAACAACAACTACAACATGTCCTAGTTTTTATGGCTTTCAATGGCTGTTTTTAAAAAGGAATGATTTGGATTGGCTGCAATAGTATATGAAGAGATAAGTTAATCAAATATTTTTCCTATATTGTGCCACTTTAGTATGCTAAACTGTGTACTTCATCATCTTTTAAGGAAAAGCACAGATTCACAGACACATTTTTCTTGCAATAGAGACATCCAGCAAGACAGCTCTGAATAGTGTGATTAACTGAAATAATGATGACCTTTAGGGTTTTAGCCTTTTCCTACTTCATAATATTTTAGGTCTGTTATTACCTTAGGTGAGCTCTATTCCCCAAGAAAGATGACACCAAATTAATTCTTCTGTGACTTATGTCATCGATATAGCTAGGATAAAAATAAAACTATGTGTCTCTACCTTTTATGAGATTTTAGGTACGCATTTTTTAAAAACTTATTTCACAATAACTGCTGAATTTTCTATACCCTCATAATGATTGTGGACTCTTAGAAATAAATCTTCACACACAGACAAATGAGATTAAACACACACAGGCACGCGCACACACACACAAATTCATTTACTGTGGTGAATTCAAGAACACTATTTTATTGAACTCTCCCTGATACAGGATATAATAAAATGAGAAATCCCTTCAAAGTAAATGTGTCTTTCCCTTATTTTAGTCAAGCACAGCATACAGTGAGTGAACACTATTCTATTTCTAAAAGTTTTTAGGATAGGTTGCATTTGCTACCTTGCTCATTCCTGCCAAGATTGCATCAGTCACAGTTTTTCAGGAAGTTTATATCTAAAAATCACCAAAATTCCTTTTGTTTGTATGAGTAAAAATGACTTCAAAAATAACTGATTAAAATAATCTTTGAACAGTAACCAAAAATATACAAAAATGACACTATAATTGGCTAAAAATGATTTGATATATAGATGAATTTCACTGGAATACACTTGTTGACAAAATAATAAATGACTTTTTGAAGCTATATAATTTTACTAAGTTTTTAAAAATACACTATCTTCTTAGAGCATGCTAGTATATAATATTATTAATTACTTTTGGGTTAAGAAAGCAATTAACTAATTTCTTCTTTGTCCTCATTTTCTCTGGAATTTATTAAAATCTATTCAGTAAATGCATTTCTGAAAGTGATACAAAGCAGTTGCTCCCATAAAATAAAAATAAAATAAATCAAACAGAACCACTTAGACATACAATGTACAAAAATCTGTATCTTAAGTAGTAAAATTTTATTGTAGTAGTTGGTTATCTTGATGGAGACAACATTTCAAATACTGAAATTAGTGAAATAGATATCAATGAAATAGTAAAAATAGTGCAGTTTTCTAATGGAAAAATTAGAGAAGTAATGAGAGAAAATGAGAAGAACAATTGACATATAGTCAAGAGCAGTCAGTCCAGAACAACTACAGAACCTGGTATTTTCAAGGAGGGTTATGTGATATATTATGTTGTGATTTATTAATGTGTGTTTTCCACAAGGGTTTTATAATCAAAGAAATTTGGTAAATTCTGCATCTCATATTCTTCTCTTGAGAGTCATGGTGTATTTAAAGTTTCTGAGAAGTCTTACATTATTTGGACCTATGCACATACTTTTTCACTGTGGTAAAATACACATAAAATTAACTTTACCATTTTAAAGTGTACAGTTCAGTGGCTTTAAGTACATTTGGAATATTGTGCAACCATCACTGCTATCTATCTAGTCCAAGCTATATAGCTTTTATTTTTTATTTTTTATTTTTTATTTTTTTTTGAGAGACAGAGTCTCACTCTGTTGCCCAGGCTGGAGTGCAGTGGAGTGATCGTGGCTCACTACAACCTCTACCTCCTGAGCTCAATCAATCCTGTCACCTCAGCCTCCCAAGTAGCTGGGACTGAAGGTGCACGCCAATATACCCAGCTAATTTTTGTATTCTTTGTGTAGATGGGGTTTTGCCACATTGCCAAAGTTGGTCTCAAACTCCTGGCCTCAAGTGACCCTCCCACCTCAGCCTCCCAAAGTTCTGGGATTGCAGGCCCAGCTATATAGCTTTTAATCATGAATGTGACTACAAATCAGTTCCCTTTGGGAATATCTTTTAATTTTAGTGTGTCTAGAGAATATATTCATAAAAAAGCTGACCAAATCCAATCTTCTCATTTTAAAAATAAAAAATTTAAAATGTGACTGAGAAGTAAGATGCCTTGCTTGGGATCACAAAGTAGTTGGAACAGAGCCAGTGTCATCCAGATTTCCCATTTCCAAGAACAGTTTCTTTTCTATTTCAAGGTATTTTCCCCTTGTCTCCATTTGTATTGTCTGGTCTTATGATCTAGTGATCTATAAGCAATACTTCATAATTTTACCTAGAAGAACTCTGGATTAAAATAAGCATCTCTAATCTTTAAAAAGATATCACTTTAAAAATGTATGCAGTACTTGTGTTGTAACTCTCTCCTTGTGATTTTCTTGTGAGAACTTTCATTGTAAGAACTCTCTTTTTAATTCACGTAATTCTGTTCTTAGGTCTTTTTAAGATTGTGGCTGATAAAACTCCATACCTTACTATGGAAGAAATCACAAGGACCATTCATATTGGACCAAGTAGACTAGGGCATCCTTGCTTCTATCATCAGAAGGATATAAAACTAGAGAACCTCATCATAAAGCAGGGTGAGCAAATCATGCTCAACTCAGTTGAAGAGATTGATGGAGAAATAATGGTGAGCTGTGCAGTAGCAAGGAATCATCAAACTCACTCATTTAATTTGCCTTTGTCACAAGAAGGAGAATTCTACGAGTGTGAAGATGAACGTATTTACACTCTAAAGGAGATTGTTGAATGGAAGATTCCTAAGAACAGAACAAGAACTGTAAACCTTACAGATTTTTCAAATAAGTGGGACTCAACGAATCCATTTCCTAAAGACTTTTATGGTACCCTGATTCTCAAGCCTGTTTATGAAATTCAAGGTGTGATGAAATGTGAGTATCCACTGAGAATGATGTTCTATGAGCATGAGCATTATGGGGTTTGGGAAAGAAAGATTTTAGAGCCTGAAGAATGGGAGTCTGTCTTTATTTCAACTATTGAGCCTGTGAGAGTTAGATTCCTCATCAATCAATAAGCAAACCATATATTTGCTCAAAAGATCATATTGAATAATGAATATACAAGTATGTTGTAAATTGTATGGTGCTATTCACATATGAGGTGCTATAACTATCAGGAACAGACAGATCAAACTACTAATTTATTTTTATTACTGCCAGTTAAATATGACTAGAAAAGAGCTACTTTTAAAAAATAGAACATATTTAGTTAGAATGAGGCTTTCTTGTATGGAGGTGGTCAACAAAAGAGGTAAATATGCAAAGTTTCCTTGATGCATCCCTTACTTCTATTTTTCTGACAGTCTTTTTCTTTTTCCAGCCATCCATTATTGGCTGTAAATCTCTACTAACCCAGAGCCCCTCTGTCTTAAGGGAAAATTATATGACAAATTAATTCACACATAGGCGTGGTGTTTTTGTTTGTTTGTTTTTTTGTTTTGAGACAGAGTCTTGCTCTGTTGCCAGGCTGGAGTGCAGTGATTCTCCTGCCTCAGCCTCCCAAGTAGCTGGGACTACAGGCACCCGCCACCATGTTCAGCTAATTTTTTTGTACTTTTAGTAGAGACAGGGTTTCACCATGTTGGCCAGGATGGTCTCGATCTCTTGACCTCGTGATCGGCCCACGTCACCTCCCAAAGTGCTGGGATTACAGGTGTGAGCCATCGCGCCCGGCCCGGCGTGTTTTAATATGCAATCTTCATAGAATTATTTGCATTTTGAAATACGAATATCTGGAGAGAGCATTGTTACTTCAAAGGTGTTAATACCTTGAATTTTCAGGATTATGACACGTGAGTAGGATGGATAGTAAAGAGTTCTGAACTTGGAGTCCTAGATTCTAACTCTGGGTCAATAACTTAATAGGTGTTGGTTTTCAGTGCACCATTTAAACTCCCTGTTTATGCAAAGAAAATGATGATACTCTTTTGCCTACCTTTTCAAGTAGTTTTGAGTTTTTAGTATTACAAAAAATTGAGGCAATGGCAAATTGTAGACCCCACATTAATGTCTGTTAGCGATCCCCAAATGTGCAGTTGAGATGAGTAATTGAGATTTCTTTGATTTTTATAAATAATAGATAGTATTTTCTCATTTTAAAATTTGTTATTTTCTACAACTATTGGCATCTCCTGCCTATCGCATAGTTACAAATGAGGGTAAACCCAGAACCTAAGCACATGGATAAAGTGGTTACAACATTTAATAAATTAGGAAGCAAGAAAAACTACTCCGAGGAAATGGCATTTAAATGGAAGGCTCAAAGGATGCATAGGAGGTAATCAGGCAAAGAAGAAAGGAACAAGGTTGGAGAAGGCAGGAGTGGTATTGGGGAAGCAGGTGAGGAAGGGATGGGAGCTCTAGTGTAGTTGGTGTGAGAAAAAAACGGAGAGGGCAGGTTGAAACAAATATGAACACATGCAATGGGGAGTGGAATCAATCATGGAGGGTCTTGAAGTATATACTAAGAGGCTAAAATGTGTCATAAGGGCAAATCAGTAAAGTGCTTTAAGCAGGGAGAGAAGAACAGAGGAGAGTAGTGAGGCCAGCTGAGTGCCAGGGTACAGGAAATTTATACAGTAGAGACATCAATGGGAAAGACAGAGAATCATAGTTGGGCTTGATGGGTATTTAAGAAGTACAGAGAGCAAAATGTGAAGATCTATTGGAAGGGGAAAAAAGCCAAACTTGTTCCCAGCCTCCTGGCTTGATCTACTGGATGGAAGTGCAGTCTATTGAATGTAATCATCATCAGATCAGGGGATATTAACATATTTGTTTAGGTAGGACTTAACTGTGAATTTATGTTAACCAAGACCGAGAAGAAAGCCCTTGGTTGAAATAATACCGTTTACAAAATGTTTTAGTCTAATTCCCATTCTTTAATGCTATTTAAATTAAATTCCCATTTTAATTATACTGGATCGTTAATTTCATAGGGATTATTTTAAACATAGTTCTTATTGTATAGCAATTTCAGGACAGATACTGCCTGAGACTGGATTGCATGTGTATTGACTGCAGAATATTCCTTGGAAATAGAGGAGGGGTGTCTTATCACAAATACCTAATTTAAAGTATTTGTATTGTTGTAGGCATTTTTGCCCTGCATATAAAATGTAGACCATGTTTTGAATCCATTGTGGTTGTTTTACATGATTCTTTCTTAAATTGAAGATTCAAAATTGCCTTGACGTCAAGAAAAAGAGTAGGTCTGAGCAGGGAATTGGAAGTTTTCTAGAAACCTTAGGGGAAAGAGCAAGATGAAAAATACTGAGAACTACAGGGAGCCATGTTTGCTGAAAAGAGAACATAACAAATAAATAGAGATAAGAGAGAATATAAGATATTCTACTCCTATTACTAGTTTTTAATTATTAATGTGAATATTTGGGCTTCAAAAAAAAAATAAAAATGTTTAAATGAAGTATTTGTTTCTGGAAACTTGGCCAAAATCTCTGTCATAGGTCTGAACCCCCCAACCCTCATCACACATTTAATGATTTAGAAAAAATTATCCCTCTTTGGAAAATAGATACACATAACAGTGCAAACTTCAAACTACTAGTCTTATGTAAGTCACATCATGATGTGTATTGTGCCTTTCTCAGGAAGACAAAATTCATATTAGCATAGTAAATGGAATACATAATATTTGCAAATGAAAAAATTGAGTGAGCTATTTATATTTGCCTCTGAAAGAGAGAGGTCTTGACCATTAAAACTTTTAAAATAGTGTCATGTTTTGACATATAGATTGATAATTATTTCTTCCCTGAGTGAAAATTTCAGAGTTGTATAACTCTCTTTCTTTTTTGAAAAAATCTCAATGCCTCTCAAATTTGGGAGGTATGGTTTTAGCCCAGATATGTAAAAAATTAATTCATTTTATAAGCAAAGGGCTGAAATCACACAAGTGAAAAGTAGTATCAGAACAGTTGTATCTGCATATTGTATAATCAGTGATACATGAATAGCAGAAAAATAACACTTTGGTCTTTAGAATACTGAGACTTCCTCTTTCTCTCATTTAATTTTTAAAAATAATTTTAATGTTTATCAAAGTCCAAAAAGTCAAATAGTGAAAAGAATTATAACAATGTTATCAGCAAACCTTTATGCCCTTGACACGAGGGCCAAATTTTCCTCATATTCTGCTCTTCTGAGGTAATGCCTTTAAATATTTTTCCCCTACTTTCTGGCACATATCTAAATAATAAAGGAATATTGCTCTTTTTCAAGTCATCAACTTTAAGATAGTAACTATTGACTTTCACATATGACAATGAAGACTTAATTCTCTTATATTCCTACTTCCCCTTCCCTATATTCTCAGTATATTATAAGTTATGGCTAAGCATTAATATTTTCATTATTGTGACAATTCACTGCTCAACCAAGTGGTGTATAACGAGTATAATTCCATTTCTCCATAACTGTTTTTCTGCGATGACGACCTTATCGTTTTCTTTGCTTGATTTTCTTCAATTTTATCCTAAGTCTTAGAGCATTCTTCAACTCTATAAAAAAAGGCCACTCAGTGTAATTTTTCAAAGAACCCAAACTATCAGGAAGGCTACCTTTTCTATTAATTTATTTTCCTGAATGTATTCCTTTGTAACTCTTCGTTCTCATGTTCCAATTGGAATTGCTTATTTTTGAGACCAACTGCATAGGTGCTGCCCTGGGAATTCCATTTAAAATAATCCTGGTGATTCCCTGTTGACTTGTGTCTGTGTTGACTAGCTATTTCTGAAATCAAATAACTCCCTCTATCTTGACTTTCTTCCAATTTTTATGCAGGCCAACCTTCCCTTGCTTCCTGAGAACGGTGCATGAATGTTTGAAAAATATTCTATACACATATAAGATTGATAGTTTGGCTACTTACAGAATTCCAGGTTGAGAATAAATTCCCCTCAGAATTTTGAAAACTTTACTCCCTTATCTTCCACCATCCTGTATCGTCTTGGAGAGATTATACGTGGTATTCTGAAGTTTCACAGTAATGTGACTTGGGGTGGGTCTGTTCTTTCTTAGTGATGACAGTTTTCAATCTGAATATTTAGGTGCTTCATATTTGGAACAATTTCTCTGATAATGTCCACTCAATTATATTTTCTCTTCTCTCTGTCTTTAATTTCAAATCTCATACTGAAATTCCCATACTGATCTTCTAGGGCCTTTTTTCTTTTCTATTTTATATCTTTTTGTCTTTTGTTTACCTCCAGGGAAAATTTTCATAACTACATTTCCAACTGTTTTAATGAATTTTTAATTTTCGTTATCATATTTTTAATTTCCAAGAGTTATTTCTTACATCATTTTACATATTTTACACTGTTCTTGTTTTTAAAATACATCTTATTTCTCTGAGAATATTTCAGTTAGTTTTGTTTGTTTGTTTGTTTGTTTGTTTGTTTTGAGACGGAGTCTCCCTCTGTCGCCCAGGCTGGAGTGCAGTGGCGCAATCTCCGCTCACTGCAAGCTCCGCCTCCTGGGTTCACGCCATTCTCCTGCCTCAGCCTGTCAAGTAGCTGGGACTACAGGCGCCTGCCACCCGGTGGCTCACGCCTGCAATCCCAGCACTTTGGGGGGCCGAGGCGGGCGGATCACGAGGTCAGGAGATCGAGACCATCCTGACTAACACGGTGAAACCCCGTCTCTCTCAAAAATATTTTAGATAGTTTTTTTAAGTTTTCAAGCGTTCACTGCAAAATATCTTCCTCTTTTGGGGTTCTTTTTTTTTTAAGTTTTGGTGTATCATTTCTTATTAAATGTTTTTATCAAATGCTTTGTGATTACTTGTAATATGTTCATATTTACAGGGGTCAGTTGAAACAAAAATGTACAAGTAAGGCACTGTTTCTATATAAGCTCTGTGTTTATGAATTTTAGATATTATCCTGCCAACTTTTTCACTGCAGCATTCCTCAAATTTAGGTTTTGTGAGTCTTTCCTTTTTGAGTTCAGTTTCACCTAAGAAGAATCTTTGTGGTATCTTCTGGGGATTATGAAACTATTGGAGCTACGTGGGGACAGAGCTAAAGATCTCACCACTCCCACTTACAGATTTATAATTAACTCCTTCACTTTCAGTTCCACGCTTCCCTCCTGCTCACCTATGTCTGGTTTCGGAGGTTCTGAGATCCTGTATATACTGTTTCCTGCAGAGGGAGAGGTGGAAGAAGTGGTCACCTATCTCCCCTAGATTAGAGTGGAGACCTGGGTTTAACCATTCTTCAGACATTTGAATAATCCCTGTGTTTTTAGCCTCCTGGCTTCACCTTGCTTTCCAGGGGTCTTATGTCTCCAAATTCTATCTTTGGAGGTCTTATGGGACAACAACAGTTCATTTTTCTTTGGATTTTGCCTCCTCAGGCACATAGGCACTCCTTTTTCTATTCTGTCAAGTAATTTATCATTCTTCCCTCTGATTTCTGTCTTCATTTAGATTAAGGATTGCAGATATCTTTTAGATTCATTGAACCTTTTTTAAAAAACTTTCTTTTTTGACTTCTTACCCCTGTGGTAAATTTGATGGGAGAAAGGATTGAAAAGGTATAATTTTAGCCCTAAACCTCACTACCTAATTAAATTAGTTCTAGCCCAGAGTTTTGCCTGGATCTATTATAATCTCTCAAAGGACTGGTTGCTACTCCTGCTAAATGATAATAAGTATAATTTATAAATTTAATATATTTAGTAAAACACAATTTTCATTAGTTTATAAAAATATCACATTAATTTCTTATGTATGTATTTGTATCTTCTCAGTGCTTGAGATAGAGTAAATGTTCCATAAGCATTCAATAAATCAAGTACATGAAAGAATGAATAAAGCAAGTAACACATTGTTTATGCGTGTATATTTATGTTTCACAGTACAAAGCTCCTCTTTAGGTAACAAGGGGGTTTTCTCACTCACTATATCCAGATTTGACTTATTATGATGACATATTTATGAGTTCAATAGCTAAGGAAAATATGAACTTCATGGTACCAAAGTTTATATCATTTATATTCATATAACAGGTTCAATTTTTGTTAGTGATGCTTTTCGCAATGTGTCCATGAAAATACTACGACAACATGACATTTAGAACCAGTAGATACTCTAGTCAGCTCCCATTTCATTTTGTTCCTTTAGGCTGCAGTCTTATTGCTAATAGAAATATCATGCAGCTAGCAGAGGAAGGTACCTATTTTGTATTATGTATATATTTATTTTTACATTACCAACTATTAATGCCTTGTTAGGATTTTCCAGAGAAAAAGAATATCTATGTGTGCTAAATATACCTAATTATACATTAATATATACAGTGTTTATTTGTATATAAAACAAATTGTATGTAAATAAAAATATTTGTTTATTTTAAGGAATTGGCTCATGCAAGTATGGGAGTTGAAAAGATCTAAATCTGTAGGACAGGCTGCACAGGCTCAAAACTCAGGCAAAAGTTAATGCTGCAGTTTTGAGGGAGAATTTCCTTTTCTCTGGGAATTCTCAGTTTTTGCTCTTAAGACCACCAACTGATTAGATGAGGCCCACCTAAATCATGGAAGGTAACATCCTTTACTGAAAGTCAACTGATTGTAGATGACAGCTACATGAACAAAATACCTTCACAGCATCACCTAGGTTAGTGTTTGAATAAATAACTAGGTAATATAGCCTAAGCAAGTTGATATGTAAAACTAACCATTACAAACATCAATGGGATACATGTTAAAAGTGTCTAAAAAAGTGTTTATTTGCTTTTCTTAGATTTTATGGACTAAATTAAAATGTAAAAGTCAAAGTAGTGTTACAAATAAACTCATATCAAATGCAAGTGTATTCATTTTAAATAACTCTCAGTTTCTCAGTGAGGATTATGATTATTTTTTCTAAGAGTTACAGAGCCGTTCAAAAGGCTCTCTTTGTTTAGAAATATGGACAGCAGATGAACCAGAGGAGAACCAGGTAAGAAAATAGAAATTCACAGTATAGCTTTCCTTAAGTTGAAATAAAGTTAAATAAATTTAAAAAAATAATTTGCAGAATATCCATAAAGAAAATTGAGATCAAATGAATGAACTGTAAAGCAAATTTTAATTTAAAAGTCTGGAACAAGGCAGAGCTCAGAAATTTTTAGTAAATCTAATAACTGCCCTATAATAAGGATTGTAATGCAATGCAAATATGTAACTAAACAATTCATTGAGTGGGTGAGAGATGAAGATGAAGTTCATACTTTTGAGAAAAACAACTGTAGTCTTAGAAAGTAAATGACAAAGATTAAACAGTAAAAATGTCTAACAAATATAGAGATTATTATTATTAAATAATAATGGAGGAACTAGAAGTTGGGAGAAATTGTAGCACTAGAATTTATAAAATTTCTTTGGAGAAAAATATGTAGAAACCATCATCTTGTCCTCAAGTCTTGAATAAGAGTGTCTCAGCAGATTTCCATCCCTGTACTAATTTAGGTCCAATTGCAAAGGATTGGTTCTCACTTAGTGAGTTGAGACCAAGAGTGTTCTAGAATTGAATATTAAATATCCAGGGAAACATATGTTGCCCATCACCAACCAAGCTTAAAGGTAACTCTTTATTTTCTCTTTAAAGACAATTTTAGTGGTGTCCCCTAAATTCAAACTTAGTTAAGAGGGTTGTTACAGTGGCAAATATAGAAAAGCACCACATTATGATTAGCATTCACCCTGTGAAGGGACTTTCCCTGAAAGAACTTAGTGAAACAACTCAGCAACATAAAGAAGTAACCTGTTACTCTTTCAGAAAAAATGGAATGGAAATTGTTTTTCACAGGAGCTCCCTTTGGATAACAAGAAAACATACCCAGCAAGGATAATTCATATTCACTCACAAAGAAATTCTGGGAAGTCTAAACTAAAGTTTGATAAGTACATAATGTTTTTACTTTGGTTTAGTTTGGAACAGAAAAACTTGTAATACAAACCTCCAGGAATGTTTCTCAGTCTCATGCTCTCAGGTGTTGCCTTCTTATCTAACATTTTAGAGTCAAAAAGAACTTTTTTGGAAAATGACATTTTCTAATTTAGCTTGTACTCTTTGGTCTTTTTTGGGGGAGGAAATTCCATTTTCCCAATTGTAAAATAACAAATGCTTGTTTAAAAAATTTATCTCTCTCTCTCTCTCTCTCTCACACACACAGACACACACACACATGATTAGAGCTATATATACCACAATATAAGCCGTTGTTGTCTAAAATTTTATAAATCTATAAAAGATTCTAATTGTTTTTCCTCTCTTATATTTTAAAATATTTCTATAAAAGCATGCAACTTTTTGTTTTATAAGAAAAACAACACTATAAGTGTTGGTGTCTTTATCTTTCTCTAGGAGAGATTCTTAGATATAATATTTGCCATAAAAATTAATGAAACCTATTTCAGTTTAAAAACTTGAGGATGTCATTGCCAAATTCTAGGTAACCTTAAGCAAATAATGAGTTTTTATTTTAACTTTTGACTGTGGAAAACTTAAAACATATAAAAAAATCAACAGAATAGTATAAAAAAAGCTTTCATTTTAATGTATTAGCAGACATGAGAGAGTAATATAAAAATTCAAAGTTCATGCAAAAATAATGAGGCAGATTGGGTTGCCAGTAAATTGGATGTCTATGGGCTTCATGGCACTTAGTATAGAAAGAAAGGTAGACTCCCTGATTTCAATCTCTTCTCCCATTGAGTTATCAGATAATCTGCCAAATTCCTAATTGTAATTTGGTCTTTCTTAATCTGAAATATTTTGGATTTCCTCCTGAAGTAGTTATACATTCCTCAGCCTGGCATTCAAAGTGTCAATTCATTTCCATAGTGCTTCTTTCAGTGAGTCTCCTGTCCAGTCCCTGTGCTCTCATTTAAAATCCTGAGATGCTGGATTTCTTTTTAATTACTGACTATTCTCAATTTCCCTTCTTATCATTGATCACGGTGTCCTTGCCATCTGGATTATACCCTCTCCTATTCTATCTTAGCCTGTAATTTCTTTTCATTCTTAAAGTCTCATGTTGTGGCCATGCCTTTCATAAAATGTCTTTATCCTCATCATCAAATTAAATATGCTATTTTTCCCCTTCTTTTTCTGCCTACTGTAATTTTAATTGAGGCTTTTATGTGATTCCACTTTCTCTTTTCTCTTAGCATATCAATTATACTGTAAAAAACATTTTTAGTTGTTACCCTAGAGTTTGTAATATATATTTACAACTAATATAGGTCACTTTCAAATAGCACAAATAACGTCATGAGTACTGCAGTTACCTTATAAGAAAATATTCCCCATTCCTCCCTCCTCTCTCTTAAAACAGTACTGTCATTCATTTCACTTATCTGTGTGCTATAATCATCCAAAATATTGCTACAATTATTAGTTTTAACAGACTGTTTTCTGTTAGATCAATTAAGAATACGAAAAATAAAACGTTTTATTCTGCCTTCATTTATTCTCCAGCACTCTTCCTTTCTGTGTGTACATCTGAGTTTCCTACCTTTAACATTTTTCTTTTCTCTGAAGAATTTTTTTAGAAATATTTCTTGCAAGGTAGGTGAACTGGTGACAAATTCCCTGAATTGTTACTCACATAAGTAAGTCTTTATTTCTCCTTTACTTTTGAAGGATGATTTCACTGGATGCAGAATTCTAGGTTGGTGGGTTTTTTCCAACTCTTTAAATTTGTCACTCCATTCTCTTCTTGCTTGCATGGTTTCCAAAGAAAAGTCCACTGTAAATGTTGTGTTTTTCCTCTATAGATAAGGTGTTTTTGCTCCTCTGGTTCAAGTTTTTGCTTTGTCTTTGATTTGAAGAAGCCTGAATATGATACTCTTCAATATAGATTTTTTTTGGTATTTATCCTGCTTAATGTTTTGAAGCTGCATTTATTTTGGAAAATTCTCAGTCTTGTTAATGCAAATGTTTCTTTTACCACTGTATTCTCCTTCTGGTATACCCAGGACATACATGTTACATCTTTTGCAGTTGTCTTACATTTCTTGGATATTATATTATGTTCTATTTTTTTCATTTCTTTTTCTTTTTTGGTTTGGTAAGTTTTTAATTGACATATCTTCAAGCTCATTGATTCTTTCCTCAGCAGTGCCCAGTGTAATGAGAAACCCACCAAAGACTTTATTTCTGTTTCTGTGTTTTTAATTTCTTTCTTTTTTTTTTTTTTTTTTTTTTTTTTTTTTTAGACAGAGTCTCACTCTTTCACCCAGGCTGGAGTGCAGTGGCATGATCTTGGGTCACTGCAACCTCCACCTCCCGGGTTCAGGCAATTCTCCTGTCTCAGCCTCCATAGTACCTGGGACTACGGGTGCATGCCACCATGCGCCTGGCTAATTTTTGTATTTTTATTAGAGATGGGGTTTCACCATGTTAGCCAGGATGGTCTCGATCTCCTGACCTTGTGATCTGCCTGCCTCAGCCTCCCAAAGTCCTGGGATTACAGGCGTGAGCCACCGCACCTGGTCCTGTGTTTTTAATTTCTATCATTGCCTTTCAGTTTTCCCCTAGAGTTTCCATCTCTTTGCTTACATCACCCATCTTTCCCTACATGTTGTCCCCTTTTTCCATTATACTCCTTAGCATTATTATTAAATTTTAAGTTCCTGGTCTAGTAATTCCCAAATATGTGCTATATCTGAATCTGGCTTTGATGCTTGATTTGTCTCTTCAGAGTGTGCTTTTTTGCCTTATAATATATGTTGTAGTTTTTTTTTTTTTTTGAAAGCCAGACATGATGTTTCAGGTAAAATAAACTGTGATAAATTGTCTTAACTTGATATATTACGTTTATCTATCTAGAAGTTAGGCTGTGTTTATAGTTTACTATAATGGTAGGTGTCAGAGGCTACATTTTCATGTAGTGCTTTCTTTTGTCTGCCCTGTTGACTTTAGTCTCTAGAGACTCCTTCTTAGGTATGGTCTTAAATGCCATTCTTTGAGTTGTAGTTTCCTGTTATTATACAGGAGCACTGTTGATGTGGTCGTATGTTATGGAGGGGGGATTTCTATAATTTATGATTAGGTTTCAGTTATTAGTGAGCCTGTGTCTCTAGGCTGTGACCTTCACAAGTGTTTCTCAGCTTTTTTGTCCCCTTTGGGAGAGATAGAATGGCTAGTGGAGGCTTGAGTTGGGTGTTCCCTTTCCTTTATGTAGAAGTACAGAGAAGGTTGGAGTTGGGTATTGCTTTTTCCCCACATAGAATATTAGAGGTGGCTTGGTTGGGTAATTCCCTTCCCCCATGATAGTTAGTCTCTGGTAAAGCACAAGTTGGTTAGGCTGTGCTAAAATAGTTTTCCTTGAGGACAGGCATTTTTTAAGGAGAACAGAATGCTCTGGGTATGTTTCAGAATAGTTGCTTCTTCTCTCACCCTGCCAGAAGCACAAGGAAATTTGTCTCATCTTCACCCTGAGAACCTGGATGGGCCCCTGAAAGTAAGACTCAGAAAAGTGTGGGAGGCCCTCCTAAACATACTCCCCAACCCTAGGAGTTTTATCTCTTAAACAATTCTACCTTTAGTCCCCAGTTACCCTTCTATTCTTCCAGGTGCTGCCTCCAGCAGTCGTTTTTGCCCCCAGTGAGCTATGACTGTTTGTATTTGCCTACCTGTCTAGTTTTTGGGGTGGTGGTTTGCCCTGTGACCTCAATTCTCTGGTGAATCTAAGAAGAGTTGTTGATTTTCACTGCATCTGCTATTTCCTTGTATTGAATCTTCTCTTTAGGCATCTATATCATGATTTTGCCTAATCTTTTTTATTAAAAAAACTTGGATGAAAATATTTTACTTTGCTCATATATTTATACCTTGATCTCTCTATTATGTTGAAGACATTAAATACAAGTATTTATTGCATTGAACAGGCCATTGTTTAAGTGAAACTGCAACCTTAAGAGAAGTGTCTTAAATAAAATATACAATAGCTGCTATGAATAGTAGCAGGAGTTTTAACATAGAAAACTTTTTTTTCCAGTGAAATTTTATATAGAATATATTTACTGAATTGCTTCCTTTAGTGGTCACTCATGGACTTTGTTCTGGCAATTATTTTTTATTCATTAATTCATTTATTGAGTATCTACTATACGCCAGGTGCCACTCTAGACATTCTAGACATTGATGAAGAAAACAATGAAAGCCTCCCACCTCTGGGAAGGCATATGTTTCAGTTTAGGGAAACAAAAATAGAAAATGTTCATAATATAAATTAACAAGTTATATGGAATGATAGAAGGTGAAGGGTGACATGAAATAGAGAAATAGAAAAGGGCAAATAGAAGAGAAGATTGCAATTTTAAATAGTGCATTTAGAGTAGGTCTCACTGCCGAGATGATATTTAAGCAGACTTGAAGAAGAAGAGGAGTTGGCTGTGAACATATCTGGCTGAAGTATGTAACAGGCAGAGGAAACAGGCTGTGCAAAGATCTGACTGACAATGAGGAGGTCCGGGAGACAGCGGGGAGTTAGAGTGAGACAAAGGAGTAGCAGATGAGACCCAGGTGGTGCCAGGGGCCAGGTAAGGACTTTGGCTTTTATACTAAGTGAAAGGACTGACACTGTAGGCTTATAAACAGAAGACAGACATAAATTATTTAGCATCTAAAAATAATATTTGCTTTCCCTATTGAGACTTGACTGCAAGGATACCGGTTAGAAAGCCACTGCAACAATCCAGGCAAAAGACAATGTAGCTTAGATCAGGATAGTCCTGATGTAAGATATTTCAGGTGTTAAAAAAGAGAAAAGCTAAGGATGTCTCTGAGATTTATGGACTGAACTGAAAGAAAAGAGTTTCCAATAGCTGAGTCTGGGAAGACAGCATATAGCTTAGGTTTTGGAGGAAGATTAGATTTCAGTTTAAGCATGTTAATTTTGAGACATCTATTAGATGTCCAAGTGGAGATCTGAAGTAGACATACTGCATTCAGGAAAATGTTTTGGCTGGAGCTATACTTTGGGTAGTCATCAGCATAAAGATGATATTTAAAGACATGAGACCACTTAAGATCAGTGTAGGCGTGGGTGTAGATAGAGGGAAAAAGAGAACCAAGACACCCTAAAAGGTGTGTGTGAGGGGTGGGTGGTGTATAGGGAGAAGAAATCAGCAAAACTGAGAAGAATCACAAGTGACATAAGGGGAAAGCAAGTGAGAAAAATGTATCAAAGAGGAGGGAGTCTAATCCACTTTGTCAAATGCTGCTGAGATCTTAAGTAAAATAAGATAGGCTAGCATCATTTCAGTGGATTTAGGCACAGAAGTATTGAAGATAGGTCAGTAATTGAATACAAAAAATTTAAGAGTTCGGATAACATGGCCTGTAGGGTTTCTCCAGCAGCAATAAAGTCCTCCAATGCATTAAAGCTATTCCCAGCCCACAGCACCCACCATGTACAAAGACAGATTGGGATCTAGCTTGTATTGAAACTGATGTTCTGGTGGATCAATTCTGAGTTCTCAGGAAGTCCTTGATGGCATCTATTCTACTAATCTCTAGCTCTTCCCTAGACTTGAGGAATAGCATGAGCCTATCTAGAGCTAGCTCTAGAATTCTTAAACCTAGCTCATTTTGATTCAAACAACCAGAATTTTAGTTTCTAAACTTACCTTGAGGTTCAGGGAAGCCAGTAGGTATAATGTTAAAAGTTAGTGCATGCTAAACTTTATAACATAACTTATTAATGTAAGAAGTGCTCTTTCAACCCTCCTTTTTTTTCTAAAAATTAAAAATCTTTACAATTTTGCAGATCTTTAGCCTATAGGCAACCACTGATTTTTTATTTTTTTTACAAGAAAATAATACTTTTTCCTTGCTGCATCTTCAGAAACTCTATAATTACACAGGACATATAAGTAATACATAAATCACACAGGTTTTTTGATGCTGCATAAACAGTTAATAATATTAAAAGTAATATATGTAATGTTTTATAAGAGGATATTCTGTCTTCTAAATATTCCAAATTGTTCATTTTCAAAAGCATGGAAGGAAGAAAAAAATGACGGAAGGGTGGCTGGAGATATTGAAAATCAATGCCATATCATGAAAATGCTATAAAATTTATGTTAGTAAATTATCAAGAAAATATAGACTATTATAATACCCTGTTAATATTAACACATAACTTTATTATTTTTTTTTATTTTTATGTTTTGAGACAGGGTCTCACTCTGTCACCCAAGCTGAAATGCAGTGGGTATGATCATGGTTCACTGCAACATTTGCTTCTCAGGCTCAAGCGATCTTCCCACCTCAGTCTCCTGAGTAGCTGGGACATGCCACCAGATTCAGCTAATTTTTTCTAATTTTTGTACAGAGACAAGGTCTCACTATATTGCCCAGGCTAGTCTCGAACTCCTGGGCTGAAGCAGTCCTCCCACCTTAGCCTCCCAAAATGCTGGGATTACAGGCATAAGACACAGTGCCTGGCCAATACATAAGTTTATTAATTCAGGACCATTTATAATGATAAGATGTTGGGTGGTATATGAGGAACAGGTAAATAAATGCAGGACAATATTTTAAGCATCTCTGTAGTCTCAAAGGAAGACTCGTGAGACAGTGGATGATTGGAAAAAATACAGATATCCATTAACCCCAGTGACGCATGAGGCAATGAATACATTGGTGAGTACTCACCAGCATACCTAGGGCTCTTGAATGGCTCCTCTGATTGTGACCCACTCTGCACCACTCCTTTGGTAGGCAGGTATAATATAACACCAGTGGAGAAAGAAAGAACTTTGACATTGGAAAAATATTGCATCTTGGTATTTATTTTCGCATATTAATCTCAAGTAGCTTGTATCTTAGGATTTTGCAATATTGTTTCAACTCACAGGATATGATTTGGTATAAAGGTTTGTTTTGGGTCAAAACTGTCTTCTATGATAATTTGATATATAAAGTCTGGCCCTCAAGAATATGACTTAAAATGACCTAATAATTTATAAACCTTCATATAAAATTTATGAACACATTTACATACATATTCACACACATATCTATATTCATGTATGTTATGGATGATAAAAGTATAAATATAAGCACAGGAATATTTAACATGAGAATCAGGACAGTGATCGTACGTCAGTAGAAGTGAGGATATGATTTTGAGGAGGTTCCCTAGAGCTCCAAGGTACTGGCTAATGTCCGCTTCTTAAACTGAGTATGGGCTTATGCGTGTTGGTTTTATATTCAATCTCTTTCATCTTAAAATTTGAAAAAAGGAAAATCACACATAAGAAATGATATATGATGATCATCTGAGTTCTTTATTTTGTAAAAGAAATTTATTTATGGCATCAGGAGAGTATCTCACAGCAAACGTTTTGAAGTACAAAAATATCATAGTGATTTATTTTTTCTTTTTAGTTCGAAAAGATATAATCCGCATCCTCCCCAGTCTAGATGTCGAAGTCAAAGACATCACTGATTCTTACGATGCTAACTGGTTTCTTCAGCTGTTATCAACAGAAGATCTTTTTGAAATGACTAGTAAAGAGTTCCCCATAGTGACTGAAGTCATAGAAGCACCTGAAGGAAACCACCTGCCCCAAAGCATTTTACAGCCTGGGAAAACCATTGTGATCCACAAAAAGTACCAGGCATCAAGAATCTTAGCTTCAGAAATTAGAAGCAATTTTCCTAAAAGACACTTCTTGATCCCCACTAGCTATAAAGGCAAGTTCAAGCGGCGACCGAGGGAGTTCCCAACGGCCTATGACCTAGAGATCGCTAAGAGTGAAAAGGAGCCTCTTCACGTGGTGGCCACCAAAGCGTTTCATTCCCCTCATGACAAGCTGTCATCCGTATCTGTTGGGGACCAGTTTCTGGTGCATCAGTCAGAGACGACTGAAGTCCTCTGTGAGGGAATAAAAAAAGTGGTGAATGTTCTGGCCTGTGAAAAAATCCTCAAAAAGTCCTATGAGGCTGCGCTGCTCCCTTTGTACATGGAAGGAGGTTTTGTAGAGGTGATTCATGATAAGAAACAGTACCCGATTTCTGAGCTCTGTAAACAGTTCCGTTTGCCCTTCAATGTGAAGGTGTCTGTCAGGGATCTTTCCATTGAAGAGGACGTGTTGGCTGCCACACCAGGACTGCAGTTGGAGGAGGACATTACAGACTCTTACCTACTCATAAGTGACTTTGCCAACCCCACGGAGTGCTGGGAAATTCCTGTGGGCCGCTTGAATATGACTGTTCAGTTAGTTAGTAATTTCTCTAGGGATGCAGAACCATTTCTAGTCAGGACTCTGGTAGAAGAGATCACTGAAGAGCAATATTACATGATGCGGAGATATGAAAGCTCAGCCTCACATCCCCCACCTCGCCCTCCGAAACACCCCTCAGTAGAGGAAACAAAGTTAACCCTGCTAACCTTAGCAGAAGAAAGGACGGTAGACCTGCCCAAGTCTCCCAAGGTAAGGCTATGGTTTTGCAATGTTTTCTCTGGAGTGTGTTCCTTCAGGCAATTTGTTTCAAGTCTTTTCTGAGTGTGTTTTGCTTACTTTTCTTTCTTTCATGCCATATTTGCAATGAGCTTTTCTGATGTGCAGTAGATGAATGAACATCAACAGTGTGTAAGCTGTTGCAGCGTTTTATATTTTGATGTGGCATGAAGTTTAATATTGAATTGGAAATAGCAGAGATGACATTTGGATATGATGACCCAAATTGCCTTTTCAGTGGGTTTTGGTAATTAAGAATATTTTATAAAGTGCCTTAGAAGCAAACCTCTTTTATTTTAGAAGTTCTGTTAATTTTTTTTTCTAAGTAAAATTTAATACCTCATCCAGGAAATTAACATACAGTAAACTCCCTTCTTCTGGGGATGGGGGGTTACTGGTAGCATGCATCTATAGCACATGTCTTCATTTTGTTTTATGTGCAGAAAGATGTAAAAATATCTTGGCAGAACAGTGTGTGAGAATGTGAGCATCTGCCCACATTCTGCTTATCTTAGAATCGTAATCTTTAACAGCTCTATTGAAAAACAAAATCAATAAAATTGGAGACAGTATGAAATCATTACAGAATCAACAACTCCATAACCACTCTAAAGATTTTGGAGGGTGATTCAGCTTCATTTCCACTTGAGGTCTTTGCCTCTTGAAAACTGCCTTCTGGCTGCCTGCAAAGCGCTTGCCCTTACACCATGATGTGTAGGTCGTTTATCCAGACGTGGTTCTGTGGTGTGTGGAAGGAGTGCATTCTGGTCTGGCAGATGTTGTACTTGCAGCTTGGGGAAACAAAGCAATTAGTAAAACAAAGAGAGGCTGTGTTTACTCTCTATGCTTAGAAATAATAGCAGCCTTAGGCTTCAAGTATATGGATATGGAAATACTTTTATTTCTACATCTCAGATATTGCATTCTGATTGTAGCTAGGGAAATCCAGTAAGGATCTCCAAAAGCATCTTTAGAAAAAGATAAAACCAGCAGAAATTTTCTTCCCAGACAAACAGTTTTGAAAGAGTCATTTGATATAATACAATGATTTCCAAATAATGTTGATTAACGTGTTGCTATTGTTTTGAAGGGTATCTTTGGCTTCTCCCATTTAACATATTTTTATTACTGAACTGAATAGTGAGAAATGAAATGAGAAATGAAATGTCTTCTTTGTGTTTTAGTGGTAGGCAGAATAATTTCCCCCTCACTCAAATATTTATATGCCTAAATTCCCAGAACCTATGAATATGTTACTTTGCATGGCAAAAGAGACTTTGCACATGTGCTTAAAATTAAGGACATCAAGATGAGATTATCTTGGATTATCCAGGTGGGTCCAATTTAATCACAAGAGTCCTTACAAGAACCTTTCCAGATAAGATCAGGGTTAGAGGGACATGTAACTATGTAAGAATGGTCAGAGATCCAACATTGCTGCATTTGAAGATGGAGGAAAGGAATCATGAACTAAGCAACACAAATGGCCTCTAGAAGCCAGAGAAGACAAGGAATCAGATTCTTTCCCAGAGTCTCCAGGAAGGAGTGCAGCTGACAACACTGGTTTTAGCTAGTGGGACCCACGTCAGCTACTAACCTATAGGACTGTAAAATAATAAATTTGTATTATTTAAGCCACTAAGTTGATAATAATTTATTATAGTAACAATAGAAAGATAATATAAGACATCAAGTTGAGAAGGAGGAATACTTAAAAACCATAGACAGTCAAATCTATATGCAAGTCACTACCTGTTTTGCTGGAAACTTTTTGTTGTTGTTGTTGTTGGTTTTTTTTGTTGTTGTTTGTTTGTTTTTGCTTTAAATGAATTTATTAGCACATGTACCCATAGAGCACTTAAGGGTACAGCTAAGCTTCAGGAATAATTGGAACCAGGATCTTGAAAACAGCCTAAGTTGTTTTTACTTTTCATTACATATTGGCTTTCTTTTCCCAGGCAAACTTTCTCAGTTTTTTTTTTTTCCAGCCTACTGCTAAGAGTTCCTGCATCTCACGTCTCATTTTTTCATCCCTAGAGAAGAAGATAATCTCTTTGGCTCAAAATTTAAAAATGAAAGGGCCTTGATTGGATTAATGCCCATCTCCTGACTCAACTAATTTATTGCTTACTCCAACTAGAGGCACGATTGGAGGGTATCTGTTTGCGCTATTATAACATAATACCACAGACTCAGTAATTCATAAAGAACAGAAATTTATTGTTTTAGAGCTCTGGAGGCTGGAAAGTCCAAGATCAAAATGCCAGCAGGCTCCATCTCTGGTTCTGAGATGGCCTCTTATTGTTCCATTTACTGGAGAGAAGGAATGTTGTGTTGTCACAAAGCAGAAGTGGGGGAACTCTTTCCCCAAGCCCTTTTCTTAGCAGCATTAATCCATTAATGAGGGCTCTGCCCACATAATAAAAACACATCTCATTAGGACCCACCTTCCAACAATGTTGTGTTGGTGATTAAGTTTCCAGCATATGAATTTTGGAGGGAATAAAATATTTAAACCATAGCAGTTGGGAGGAGAATGAGGTGTGGTTGCCTCTAGTATCTAGCAATACAGAATTGCAGGATGTGAAGATATGGAGATACAAATAATAGATGTCCACTACCATCAGAAAGAAAGCACTCATAGGGAAAAAAAAAGGTTAAAATTTTTAAAAATTGTCCTTTGCCAGGCATTAAATGAAAATGATCTAAGTGTTTTATTAGGAGAGAAACTCACAGAACAACATTACGCCTAGACTACTAAACTGAAGTGAATGAAATCTTTGACTAAACCTGTACATGTAGGATTCCAGATACTTAATAATTCCTAGCTGTTTTTTTACTGGTCAGACCCCACATGGAGTCTTGGTGTTCAATTCTGAGTCTCACTCTAGAGACTTTTAACTGGAGTTTGTAAGGAGCTGTTAAAGATGTTAAGAGGTTCTGGAGCCATTTTCATTTGAGGAATAGTTGAAGACATTGAGTGATAATCTAAAATTGGAAGACTTGATACTAGATGATATTAGTTATTTTATACATTTAAATAGTTGCTTTGTGGCAGAGTGCAGACTTATATTCCATTATGACATCTTCAACACTGGGTGAAAGTTAAAGGGAGGACAAATTTGGTGTAATATGTTGGAACAGGTTTCTTCTCCCCAAAATGTTTATAGTAGAAGATAGGAAATCATGTCAGTGATATTGTCAGGGAATCCCTGCTTTGGTTGAGAATTTATCAGACAGTTGAGAAGAGTCTACAGTTCTTTGTTTATGAATAGTTCCTTTAATTCTAGTGTGATAGATAAAGCATTATATTTTCTCTGAAATCACTTTAAAATGTCAGAGGATGCTACAATTCACCTGTATTTAGACCTACTAACCTCCTTATTTTCAGCGATTATTTTTTACCATGAAGGCAGGAATCTGCTTAATACATTGTTTATAGAATGTAAACAGAAGCTCTTTCAGTTTCTTCATAATCTACTCCAAAAATTTTGCAAATATTTCTTATTCTCACAAAGTCATCCTTTCATATATTCCTTTTATGTTTCTTTTGATATTTACATGAAGTCTCTTCTATCATGTGTGCTTTTGAAGAACATTTTTTATACTTCATAGGTAGGAATCAGCCATTAAAAAACAGCCTCTAAGATTATGGATTATATATGGAATATTGCTTTAAATTTGGATAACAAATAGTAAGAGTTATTCAGAGTTTAAATATTCAAACTCATTTAGCTCATTAAAATGTGGTTTTACATGCACAGAGAAGAGTCCTAGATGCTTCATTATATGAATTTACTTTTGCCTTCCCAATGGATCATTAACTTTACTAAATCATTTCTTGCATTAAGTAACAGACAGATGTATGGGCAATCTAAGAGTAAGAATCTAAAATTCACCCTGCATTAGCCAAATTAACCTATAGCAGGTATCTGCGGTTGGTTATGAACACTACAAGCTCATCTAAAATGTTTGGAAATTAAGAATATATGAGGACAGGTTACAGGAACTAGGAGAAATAGAAAGAATTGTTTTCCAAGGTAAGATTGGCAACTGTTCTCCAGCTTTAGCAATACCTAAAAAGAAAAAAAAATAGATTGGTGTAGAAACTTTAGAATTATAATTTCAGTTTGGGCAGGGACACGAGTGGGGGTATGGTTACCAACAGGATTATAGCCTACTTCAAGACCTATGAGATTTTATGTGAAATAATATTATAGTTGTTCTTTAAATGTGTTAGTTAACTGTTTATAAGGATAATGTATGGAATCTAAACAAAGGAGTGGGAATAGGCCAGGGGAATCCTCAAAATTTTCTTTAGGTTTATGACATAATGCAGAAATAATGTCTTTAGGATCTGTGCATCTGAATTTTAATCTGATGGAAACAATATTATAAAGTGACTAAATAAATGAAGCTGGGCCTGAAATTGTGTTCTAAATAGAAATGTTGTCAGGTAGATTCTCCTTCCTTGAAGGTTGGTTTGTATGTTAGAAGTGGTTTCAGATAGTTCAGAAGAACATATACTCACTGGGGTTTTTGCCTGTCGTGGATATATATAGCTACGACTCCTGAGTGCCACACAGGAGAAATGCAACTTCTGTATTCTGATGAAAGGGTCTATAACAAGACAGAAAACAAACCTTTGGTTGAAAGATGAGATATTCCATGTCTTCAGAGACTGCAGCTGGGACCAGAAATCTTGTATTTCACTAACTCTGTTTGGCCATTTAATGCCCAAGTGTCCACTTTGCTGCCTGAGTTTCTAGATTTCTGTCGGACAAGAACACCCATAGGAGACATTAAGGCAAAGAGCAAGGGAGGCAGTAATGGCAAGGTACTGTGAAATGAGCAGAAAAAAATCCTGCACCAGAATTAGAGTGAGGGCTGAAAAAGGCAGAAGGAAAGCAATGGTTCCTGGGGAGTGCACAGAGAACACTTCAGCAGCTGCTGCTGGTGCTAAATTGTCACTTCTGATCTGGTTTGACAGTTACAGTGGCTGAAATGTGTTAGAGAAATCCACGTTACTGGGCTAAATCTAGATCATTAGAGAGTAGTATTATACCCACTTGTTTGTTATCAATAGGGTTTGGTCACAAACAATGTGACTTGTTTTTGTTTTTGTTAACCTGATGTAGTATAAATACATTAAGAGTGTTTGAATTTGTAGCTGACTCTGAGCTTCTGAACACTCACACCTTTCTACTCATGGTAGGTCCTTTTCGTGTAATATAGAAGCTGTAGTACTGATTTCCCTCTGAATAGGGAAGATTACTGTTAGAGAGTTTTTCAAAGACCCAACACAATGAAGATAGAATACGGACATATTTAAATATTGGGTTTTTGAATCTGAAAATAAGAGAAATAAAGGAAACTTTTGAACTTCCTTTAAAAAATTGACAAATTTTGACTGTGAGATACAATTTTAGCTTTTTTGACTGTGAGATACAATTTTAGCTTTTTTGACTGTGAGATACAATTTTAGCTTTTTTTTTTTTAATGAATTCTCACTCTGTTGCCTAGGCTGGAGTGCAATGGCGTGATCTTGGCTCGCTGCAACCTCTGCCTCCCGGGTTCAAGCAATTCTCTGCCTCAGCCTCCCACGTAGCTGGGATTACAGGCACCCCCCACCACGTCCAGGTAATTTTTGTATTTTTAGTAGAGATGGGGTTTCACCATCTTGGCCAGGCTGGTCTTGAACTCCTGACCTTGTGATCCACCCACCTGGGCCTCCCAAAGTGCTGGGATTACAGGCATGAGCCACTGCACCTAGCCAATGTTAGCATTTTTTTGGTAGCTATTTGAGCTTTCCTTAGAGTAAGACATGTACAGATTAATAAATCATGGTTTTTGAGTTGCCAGAGGTCTGTTGTCTAGTAAATGGCATGGGCTATAAACAGACAACTAAAGAAGTGAAAAAGACGGGAGAAGAGGGCAAAGGATGAATAAAGGAAGTGCTGGGTTGAAAGTTAGCCAAACTTGAGTTATAGCTGAAACCTCGAAGGTACAAATCTGTGCCCAATGGCACATACGGAATATTTACAAGCTCTTTTTGTGCTTCTGGAATGGGAGAGGAGTGATCTGAATTTTAGTTTTGCTCTAGGCATGACATGTACTGTGTTGATACTTCTATCTGGATAGCTGAGTTGGTATAATTGAGTTTTAAATGAAAAGGAATTGGTTAAACTAAAATATTCGCAAATATCACCTGATTTTAGGGAAATTTCAAGAAACAATGAACAAGTCTTCATACTAATAATAAAATACTGATTTTCTCTGGATAATTTATGGCTAAAGAACATGGTTTTCATTATGGCATGATTGAAGTACACTTTCAATTGGAAATATGTGAAGAAACTAAAATTTTGGCCCTCTCTGAACTTTTTAACAACTGAGAATGTTCTCACCTGGGGGCAATGATGAAAAACATTAGCTAATACTGTCCCCCACTCCTTATCTATAGTGTCAAGAACAAAAATACCACCAAATATGTGATGTCATATTTTCGGTGTTACTGAGTATTACTTTTTTAGCAGAAAAAAATGTGAATTTATAAAATTTATTTATTTTCTCAATAGATTAGCAAAAAGCTTGAGCAAATTTGGACTAAATTATTTTGCACTAGATTTCTGGCCTTTAAGAAAATTAGAATAGTTTTCATTTACTAAAATGTCCACTACATGGAAATTCCTGTTTGAAATGATAGCAATAACAGAAAAATGATCAGTTCATTGCACAGTATGTATTAAGTGAGAGCATTTGAATTGCCAATTTCCTATAATCTCTATAGAAATTTTAGTGCCTGTAATCACTAAAATTGAGTGTGGGCTCACTAGATATTTATGTTCCTTTCCTTGAGCTTATTACCTTCAGTTTTTCTTTAAAAAAAAAAATCAAAAGAGCAGTTGAAGAAAAGTAGAGGAGATAAGTTCCAGTTGGCTATGCAGTTTTGAAACAGATTTGTCTGAATTTTCCATTACTATATTTGTCAATTGTGAATTTATTTTAGAATAAAACCTTGCCTAAAAATAAATTGATAACACATAAGCTATATATTTGAGCAAATAAGTTTTGCTACAATTCCCCAGTTCCTTGCAAGTTAACCATTACTTTTAATCTTCGGTGATGTTTTCATTGATATCAGACCTACATCAATAAATATATTTATGCTTTGCTTCCCAAACCAAATTTTCCTGGATAAATATTAGGACAGAAAATGAGCACAAGATGGCTATGAAAGAATGCAATAAAATAGGCTTCCAAAAATCAGTATTTTTTCCCAAACTTTGAAAAGTAAAAAACGTAAGAAGAAAAAGATTTGTCTTAGAAATAGAAGAGAGTAGAAAGTGAAAATGAACTTTAAATTTAAGAGACCGGAGGGCCCATAAATACTTTAAAAATTCATAGACAAAGAAAAGATTCATGCATGCGTTATTTAAGGAAAAACTCTCAGCAAACCTTTTATAGCCGTAAACTTTCTCATACACTTTGTCCAGAATCTAACTTCAGTATAATCATGATGTCTTAGAAACTTTCTAAGCAATACTTAATTAAGATACACTTCTAATAGGACAAGTTGCTTTTAGCCTCTTTGTAAGAGGTTAAAATATCTCTAATGCTCTCATTTGAGATATTTACCATTGGTCTCCTTTGAGATATTTACCACAAGCCAATTACACAGACGATTTTAGATCTCATGAGAACAAAATAAGAGAGAATTCTATAAAATCAGAAGGCTGTTGACTACAAAATTAGACAAACAAGAATCAAACTGTACATTAAAGGCCACAAGAAATGTATAATAAATCCACTGTTATTTATGAAGGTGCACACAAAATTAAAAAGGCTGATTATAAAATTATGAAGTCACACAATATATAAAAGGAATAAATATTTGTTTTTTTTAGTGTAACTGAAAAGATACCAATATTATTCTGACTTGTGACATTACGCTCATTCAGATCACTAAACTTTACATACCATTTGTCCTTAATAAAAGTTTGTTGTTGTTATCAAATGCTTTTAAAAGTTGTAATTAATGTCTTAAAAGTATGCAATTACCAGTTGTGAAATAGGATAAAACACAAAGTCATGTAAGACGTGTTTTCTCAATTGTTATCCAAGGCTGAGAACCACCCTATCCAAGCTATTCTCTTCATTGGTTCTGATTTCAGCTTTTCTCCTGAGGTAAAATCATTTCTGTATTTTCCATTCATACTAGACTCTGCTTCAACCAAATTCTCACAATGTTGTCAGACATCTTGTGTTCAATAATAAAATATCCAAAGGTCTATGATCCAGACTGATCTCAATCTTTTGTAATAAAAACACCAGCTGCTCATTACTGAGCTGGCGCTATACCAGGTGCTTACATGTATTAATCTCTTATTTAATCTTCCACATTGCTCCATGAGATGGATGCTGTGATCATCTCTATTTTGCAGATAAGGTAATTTAGGCTAAGGGGTATATAAGGTGTGTCATGGTTACCAATGATACTCAGGTTGCCAGATTTTATGGTCAATCCTCAGTCCTCATATTATTTGAATACTAGGTACTATTTGGCACAGTTAAACACTACCTACTTTTTAAAATCCTTTCTTAGAATTCTGCAATATTATGCCTTCCTGATTTCTTTATACTGTAGTGGTTGTATTTTTCTCTCATCTTTTTTGGTAGCTCTTCTCTGATCTCCCTTAACTCTTAATGTTCAAGTGCCTTTGAGCTCAGTCTTTGGTCTCTTTTCTATATATGTCTACTTTTAAAATTCCTATCCACACACACAAATTTCTTATTTTATGCATATAAAATGGCTGTCAGTAGAATTATTCATGTATATGGATTCATAAAGGAAAGCAACCAGAAATGGTGTCATATTTTTCTGTTAAAATCTGCTTAAATATGTGTAAATGTCATTTTTTAAGGAGAGTTCAGCTCCTGGGAGATGCTAGCTGTATCACTATGTCTGTTCTGTAGCAGTTACAGTTTTCAACTATACCTCTGGAAGAGATTGAAGGTCAGGGAAAGTGATCAGGTAAGGAAAGAGCCTTCCTACCGACATGCTATTCTGATGAATGTAGGCTTATCATGCTTAGGACTTTTCTTTCCTGATCCACTGATGTGAAGAAAGTTGAGAATATCTTGAACTCTCTATGAGACATTACAACTTTAGCTGATGAACTTTGGCATCAGCAAAAACTCTTTAGTAACAATTCAGGATTTAGCTGAAATAAGTTTCAGGAAGTAGAACTAAGAATAGGAGTAGAACTTAGGACTATTAATTTGAATACCATATTGAGTAGGTGATAATATAAGATCCAGAGAGAATATGAAGTCTTCTCTTCATTAAGGTAGATAGGGATGTATAACAGGAAAAGATTAATAAAGGGTTAATGTGTTCAGGAGCACAGAATAATGAACACTTTAATAATAAGCAAAGAAAAATTTAGAAAAAAAAGAAAGCAGATCAGTGTTTTCCTAGAGAGATAAGTAGGCATAACACTGCCTACTCAATGACAAATGACAAGAGGAACATTTTCGGGTGATGAAAAGGTTCTAAAACTGGATTATGATAATGGTTGCACAGATCTATAAATGTATTAAAATCATAGCGCTGTACACTTAAAATCATCAATCATACCTGAATACAGCCATTAAAATATTCTAATTATAGCATAGATAATCAATTCAAACAGAGGCAGGGAGACCAGTTAGGAAGCTAAAACAATAATATAAGAGAGAGGATGCCTGCCTCTGTGAATGGAAGACACATATTCAAGAGAATTTTAGCATATGGTAGGTGTAGGATGTATGGTTGATAAATTGTAGAAAATAAGAAAGGTACAAGATAAGGAAAGTATCCAGATTTCTAACATAAGCATCAGAATGGATGGTGGTGAAATTGATTAAAACACATTCAGAAAATTCATTAAAATAAAAAACACAGAACATAGGTAGAAGAATAGCACATTATTCAGGGTTCTCCACAGGGACAGAACATTTCCCTTTCCACAATGCACAGTTACCCTGGTAAAAGGCTAGAGGTCTCCTTGGGGAAGGATGGGAGAAAGATTCACTGCATGAATTGTCGGTAATGTAGTGGGGTCCTTCCACAAGGAGTCCTGGCCTCCCCTTCATTCAAGGGGTTCTGGGTCTGTAAACTGGCTCAAGTCTGGAAATTGATTGAAGGGCCATGATTCTCTATTTTTTATAACTCAAATTAGTCTTTTGCCCATTCGACCTAGAAGTTTTCTGTTTGTATAATTTAAGTAGGAATGCAGTAGGCTTCCTATCAAATTCACTTCTAGGAACACTGTGATTAATTAGCCAATGCCAGAGCTCTACACACATCAGATTATTCTGATTGCCTCTTTGCCTCTGCTGTCCATTATGGTAGCTACGCCCACCTTTGCTTTGATGTTCAGTGCTGCCACTTGGCCCCTGCCACCTCAGGATCCAATTATTCCTACTACATTTAAATTTTGTAGTTGAGTGACAGTGGTTCCCTCGTTAGATCTGACATACAGAAAAGCGCAATTACAGGGCTCTTCAGAGATGCAGGTGCTGCCCTCATAAATCTATTTTGCAAGGCATTGGTCAAGGGTATATCTTCTGGACCCTCCCAGCTGGGATGAGTAGGTCTAAAGTGACTAATCCACTCCACCATCCCAATCTCCCTAAGCCTTTGGATCTTTTCCTTTACATTAAACCAAGGAAGATCAGGCATTTCCAACTTGCTCACAGTGGGCCATCTTTTAATCTATATTTCACCTAACCAAGCAAATAAACTCTTAGAACCTTTTTTAACTCCCCGAACTGCAACATTAAATGCAGAGTTCCTACTTAGTGGGCCCAAATCAACAAATTCAGGGTGATCCAACTGTATGTTCCTTCCACCATTATCCCACACCCTTAATATCCATTCCCATGCCTGTTCTCCAGATTTCTCTTTATATAAATTAGAGAACTCAAGCAGTTCTTTTCCCGTGTAGTGCATCTCCTCATGGGTCACACTCTCAACCTCACCTCTAGCGCCCCACCAGGACTTTTGTCTAGTTGTAGGTCTAGAAGCACACAGGGGTGTTGGGGGTGGCTCCTGAGCAGAATCAACATTATCTTGCCTGGCAACCGCCTCAGGGGAGGCCATCACCGTTGCCTCAGGCAGCGCAGGGTTTATCTCCTCAGACAAAGGTGGAAAGGCTGATGGCAGCATGGGTTGAGGAGGGGATGTTGTCACTACTGGGGATGGGGAAGCTGTTTCTTCTGGCAAAAAAGCAAAAAAGGTTCATGAGAGTTTCGAAACTCAGTGTCTCCAGCTTCTTCAGGGTCCTCCCACTCGTCCTCATTCCAAGTTGCAGGGTCCCATTCTTTTCCAGTCAATACCCTCACTTTAACAGTAGACACCTGGCAAGGGTGTGCATGTACCTTTTGTTGCAGGTCAGCCACTCACATGATAAGAGCTTGTGTCTATTTTTCCACAATTTCAGCTCTTTCTGTACAGGAGACTCAGGGCAATCTTAGCAGATCTGAGGCTTGATATCTGCTTCTGAAGCCAGGAGATAGAATCCTCGATTTCATTCATCACTTTGCCCACTGAACTTAGGAGCAACCAAGGAGCTTCATTATATTCTCTACGTATGGTCAAAGGTTCCTTGGTTCTCCACATATGGTCAAAGGTATTATGTATAGAGTCACTAAACTCCTTGCCTCTCATGAGCATGTATCAGGAATGTCAAATGCATTTATTTTGCATAACTCTCTAAACAGTTCATGCCAAGGACTCAGTGTTCTCCACACTATTAGAAGTAGAGTCCTTAGCATTTTTTGATCTAATCATATTATGCAGCCAACTCCAGAAACCCCAAAACCAACGAAAGAACTTCATCCTTAATATTCTGTTCCTCTTCCTCTAGAACCACTCCTGTTACCAAAATCTATATTAGTCAGGGTTCTCTACAGGGACAGAACTAATGGAATATAGGTCCCACAATAGGCCATCTTCAGGCTGAGGAGCAAGGAGAGCCAGTCCAATTCCAAAACTGAAGAACTTGGAGTCCGATGTTCAAGGGCAGGAAGCATCCAGCACAGGAGAAAGATGTAGGCTGGGAAGCTAGGTCAGTCTCCCCTTTCCCATTTTTCTGCCTCCTTATATTCTGCTGCACTCTAAGCTGATTTGATTGTGTCCACTCAGATTAAGGGTGGGTCTGCCTTTCCCAGCCCACTGACTCAAACGTTAACCTCCTTTGGCAACACCCTCACAGACACACCCAGAATGAATACTTTGTGTCCTTCAATCCAATCAAGTTAACACTCAGTATTAACCAACGCAGATGGTTTTACAGAAGCAAGGTTACAGTTTAGTTTGGTTTGAAATTTCTGAGTTGAGATGCCTAGTATGATGTTTACCATGGGTCTGTACTTTAGGAAAGAAATCTAAGCTAGGGATGATGATTCAAGTGTCAACAAATATGTGATAAATAATGTCCTTTGAGAAGGTGAGATGAAGCTAGAGTGGGTAGCCCATGAGAGAAGAAGATGGAATTTTTTTTCTGAGGAAGTCCAAAATATAAGGAACAAAGGAAATATATTAAAAAATCTAAAATATAAGAACCAGAGGGCTTTATTAGCTGAGTGCCAACAATGAATCAGTCACTATTCTGTTTTCTACATGCATCAACTCATTTAGTCCTCATACAAAACTAGTGAAATTAATTCCCTAATTATTATTATCCCAATTTTACAGATGAGAAAAAGCTCATCAACAATGGATAACTTTCCAAGACCACATGTATGGATTATTGCTTTTCAGGTATAAATAATGAACAACATTTTAAGGGACTCAGTACTATGAAGAACGTTTGTGATTTTAGAATCAAAATTCAAGCCATGGCTAATTGATGCTTTTTTCCCCTAATAAAAATTGTGAACATCATTATGACTAAATTGGTCACTTATAACTTGTCAAGGAAAAATTTTCTGAAATACATCATCCTCAATTGGCTCCTTCTTCGGGAATATGACTTGTTATCATGGTATGGGTAAAGGATGGTAGAGAATCAAGAACTACAAATAATGTACAAATGTGAGATCTCTATCTCTATCAATTGCACTTATTTAATTGGCCAGAGAAAATCATAGTCCGTGTGTATGTTCGAGTGTGAAAGTGTAACCTTCCCTTAAGCCTGAAAGTAGAGGGAAACTGGGTACTAGTGAACAATATAAGAACTATTACATGGTCCAGAAAGAAAAGAAAGAAGGAAAGAAAGAAAAAAAGAAAGAAAGAAAGAAAGAAAGAAAGAAAGATAGAAAGAAAGAAAGAAAGAAAGAGAAAGAAAGAAAGAAAGATTACCAATGGGGTTCTCATTTCTTATCTTTGCAAATGCCACCACCATCTACTGACTTGCCTAAACCAAATATGTAGGAACAGTCCTTCCTTTTTTATTCCTGTTTGCATTTGTCAATCATCAAATCCTGTAGATTCTATTTCTTTGACATCTCTTGAATATATATACTTCCTTACTTCAGGTCTTCATCATTTCTTGTCTGGATTATTGAGACCATCTCTTAACTAGTCTTTTTGTTTTTGATCACCACACTTAAATTTATTATCCACATTACTGACAATTTGATAATTCTAAAAAGAAAATCTTACCATGTATCTCTCTTGCTGAGAACGTGTTGTGGCTTTCTTTTCAATAGTTTATCGCCTGTCCATTATTTATTTCTCAAGCCTTTCTACCTTCATACCTTGCCTCACGTTTATACATTTAGTATTTGGCTATATTAAATTTTTGCAGCCTGCAAATACTTTATTCTCTTCTGAGTCTTTAATTTTTCTTTTTTCTTTCTTTTTTTTTTTTTTTTTGAGACGGAGTCTCGCTCTGTCGCCCAGGCTGGACTGCAGTGGCACAATCTCAGCTCACTGCAAGCTCCGCCTCCCGGGTTCACGCCATTCTCCTGCCTCAGCCTCCCGAGTAGCTGGGACTACAGGCGCCCGCCACCACGCCCAGCTAATTTTTTGTATTTTTTTAGTAGAGACAGGGTTTCACCGTTTTAGCCAGGATGGTCTCGATCTCCTGACCTCGTGATCCGCCCGCCTCGGCCTCCCAAAGTGCTGGGATTACAGGCGTGAGCCACCGCGCCCGGCCGTCTTTAATTTTTCAATTGGAATTTTGTTACTTTTTTAAACAACCATTTATTGGGGGCTCACTAACATTTAAGTAACTAAATAGTTCTCATTCAATTCTTTCCATATCCCTATGAGTGTTATTAATATTCCCAAGACATGAACACTGAAGCTCAGAGAATAATTATGAATCTTATTTTAAATGTGTGATCATAGTTCATGAAAGATCTGAAGAAAGAGAACTACTACTCAGAGTGTAAGCTAGAATTCGAAACCATCCTTTATTTAGACCAGCGTGGCACATGTATACATATGTAACTAACCTGCACAATGTGCACATGTACCCTAAAACTTAAAGTATAATAATAAAAGAAAAAAAAAATTCTGTTTCTTAACTACTTAGTCATTTTCAGTGATCTTTTATTTTTTTGAACTAATATCACAACTTTAAAATAAGATCCACTGTTATGTGTTTGCATATAAATATACACTTGTGGTTTTAAGAGTAAGGCACGCTATTTTAGAAAAGAGAAAAATGAAAGAGGAAAATAAAATCAGGAGCACTTTCATCATATTAATATTTTGTACTGTCAATATTATATTTCCGTTATTCATACACATATAGACTCAGACACACATACGTGCATGATTCTGTATTCATCTGTGTCTGTGATAAAGTGACGTATGAACACATATGCGTATGTACACATGTGTGTAGTCTAACAGATTGTTTCACTGACTCTTCATCCTGGGAACCCAAAGCATGAGAAACCAAAGCCTGAGAACAAAATGCCTGTGAACCCCCACATTTTAAAGTGAGCTGCAGAACTGTGTATGCAGGACTTGGAAGGTGAAGGTCCTATAATTGATGCCAGCAGTATTAGCTAGTCTCCCATCTTGGAAGCAAGGAGCAAGTGTTCTTTAAGTGCTTTTCTTTCACCTCAGATAAATTAGAGAAACATTGAGAAGTTAGCAAAATAAAGAGAGAAGATTGTTTTACAGATGGTTGTTAACCATATCCTGTGAATTTTTAGTCCCTGGCATTATGGGTAAGAGATGTTGGGTTCTTCTCCCTCACTTCAAGTTATGTGATGGGATCTTCAGGTGATCCATTTGGAGGTCTTGCCAATGAGCTGTAGGAGTTGGAAGAAAATAGGAGCTGGCCTTTGACCCATATCTGCAAAATCTAAAGGTAAGAGGCTGTGACTAGAGCTTCCCTTTGCCTGGGGTAAGTTATTTTGAAAGAAAACTGCACTTATGTCAATAGCAGAATGAAGGTGTGGGTTCTCTGAAGACAAGGTGTGAACTTGAGAGATTGAAAGGGACCTTGACTAGTGCATATATTTCCTGGAGTAGAAGCACTGAGGGTGGTAGTGGTACATTCTTAGCCTTAGTCAAAGAAACTTGTGTGGTTCTCAATGGGATGGTTTCCCATTAGTCTGAAGAAGTGACCTATGAAAAAAAGGGTTAGTTTTTGACTCCTGCCATTTCAACATTATAAAGATATTAGTGATTCAAGAGTGTATATCCTTTCTTCTTATTCCACTTTCTCCCAAGGCCCTAAGCTGGAGAAGTCAAAAAAGAAAGGTTAGTGCACGGATGCAGGAGTTGAAGAGAGCACATCATTAAGCAGCCAAACATACTTGCTTCTCTTCTGTAGACTTAAAAAACTCAAGTGGGATTAAGCTACAGCAGGAAGAAGCCTTGACTTAGAGAAGGATTCTGAGCTTTGTTAGTATGCTAAACTGAGCTGGAGTCAAGTGGATTTTTATGAACCATGTACTCACTAAAGACTATGGGATTTCCCCATGATTTTATGCAGAGTTAGAATAACCACTAGTTCACAGAGATTTGAAGGGATATAAAACAGTGAGAATCAAGGTGGCTCTTGTGTAGACACTATAAAGTTCAGCTTACTCAATAAATTGCTGATGAGTATGCATGTATATGTGTTCTGCATACCAAACATGGGTATATACTGTATATACCCATGTATTTATGTGTGCGTGTCTATACATATTAGTGTTTCTGTGTACGTATGTGCAATGCAATTATCTCCAGTCATTCTTTGAATGTCAAATTTTGCTTTAATATCTAAGTAAAATCAAATAAGCTCTCAATTTCATATAGTTTTGGCAATGCTTCCTCCATTATTTCCAAAAAGTTATGTGGGATCTTTATGTTTTCTCCTTTTGTCTCCTTTGCTTTCTTGCTCATCACTCTTCTTTAGTTTTCAATCACCTTGGATCACTTCAATACAGGCATTCCGACTGCATAAGGTTGATCTGGTCTTTAGTGCCTCAAGCTATCAATTAAATTTGTCCTTTTTTATTTTTTAAGGAACCACTAAAAACGCACTTGTAGGTGAACATAAATTTGCTGAAGGTTTGGTGATAATGGCTAGGAACAGGAAGTAAAAGTTCTAATCCCTAATTTCTGATGGCCCTTAACTCTAAACCTTAACCCACTTCAAGGTTTTTCATCTCACAAAATCAATGCTTTTCTACCCAGGATCAACCCACATTAGTTTTTTGCTTAATAATGATCATAATAATAATAAATCAAATGCATTAAAATGCTCATTCTCATATTTAGTTCTATACTTTTAATCTTAGAAAGGTTAACTTGCCTTGAAATCAGATCCACTATAATGTATTCTAAATTTTTATTTTCTTATTTAACTTTTTAATCTGTGAAAAAATTTATTTTGCATATAGTATGGAGTGAGGATCAAACTATTTTCACAAATGGTTAGTGTATTTCCCCAGTACCACATATTGACTAAACAATCCTTTACCTGTCTTTTCTGGAAGCAGTTTCTCAACTTTTTACTCTGTGTCTTTGATTTACCTAATTGTCTTAAACCAGTATCAGTTACTTACAATGTAGGACTTTCTAGTACTTCCTAATATGGATATGTATTAGGTTGGCGCAAAAGCAATTTCAGTGTCAAGAACTGCAATTACTTTTGCACCAACTTAATTTTTTTCTTCTTCTTCTTAGTATTAATCTTTTTCTTATCAGTAATTACTTAGATTCTCAGCTTCCTGTACTTTCAAATGAGCCTGTAAAACACTTTATTAACTTCTAAAAAAAGTCTGGTGGCCGGGCGCGGTGGCTCACGCCTGTAATCCCAGCACTTTGGGAGGCCGAGGCGGGCAGATCACGAGGTCAGGAGATCGAGACCGTCCTGGCTAACAAGGTGAAACCCCATCTTTACTAAAAATACAAAAAATTAGCCGGGTGTGGTGGCAGGCACCTGTAGTCTCAGCGACTCAGGAGGCTGAGGCAGGAGAATGGCATGAACCCATGAGGCAGAGCTTGCAGTGAGCCGAGATCGTGCCACTGCACTCCAGCCTGGGTGACAGAGCAAGACTCCATCTCAAAAAATAATAATAATAATAATACAAATCTGGTGAGATTTTTGATTGCAATTATATTAAGCATATTAATTTGGGAGAATTTGAATTTTTATGATACTTGGTTTTCCGATCTTGGCAAATGGTTTTCTATTCTATTTAGCTAAATCTTCTCATGAAAGCCATGTGTATGTTTCTAACAATTTCTGGTGTACTTCTGACATATCTATAAACTCGTGGGAGATATCAGGTCATCTCCTTGAGCATTAGGAACTTTCAATGCTATGGAACTGTCTATGGTACAGAATTTATATTCTCACATCTGAATAAAACCAAAGATTATGTATTTTAACATGATGAACATCTGCTTTCCGTCAAGTCTTTCTTTCTGCAAATATCTGTTGGTTATTATATTTTACATACTGTTTTTTTGTGTTACATTTTCATCAGTAATAAAACACCTCCGTAAATGGTCTGATACTCCTCTTAATGTTTACTTTGTCTTGGAAGTAAATGATACAGCTAAATGATCAGGTAAATGTTAGAGCATTAAGAGTGCTATAAAAATAGAGCAAGAGGTAAGGACTAAGAGTTTAAGGGGTGTAGAATAATTTTTGAAAGAATATCAAGGTGTACCTTACTGAGAAGATGACATTTGTACAAAGACATGAATTGGTAAGATGAGATGTGCATAGTGAGAGGAAATGTTCCAGACAGAGGAAAGAGATAATAAACACATTAAGGCAGGACTGTGTCTAATGTGTTCAAGACAGGCAGAGACAGGCATAGTGGCACAGTCCCAGCTACTCAGGGTGCTGAAGTAGAAGACCAGCATGGACAACATACTAAGACCCTGTATTAAATAAAAATGATTCAACCAGCAGGTCAGAAGGCTGAAATATTGCGACTGAAACTGATAAAAGGAGATGACATCAGAGAGGAAATTTGGGAAGCAGATTGTGTAGGTCCTTGAGGTTGTTGTAGTAATCTTGGCTTAATTTTTCATGAAAGATGAAACAATTAGAGAATTGAGTGGAGAAATGACATAAACTGACTTACATCTTAAAGGGCTCATTTTGGCTTTTGTGTTGAGGTTAGACACTAGTGGAGCAAGAATGGAAACAGAAAGTCCAGTTAGAAGAACATTGCCGTCTTAATATTGCTATGGGCTAGGAAGATAGCAATGGAGATAATAAGAAATGGTTAATTCTACATCTGCTTTAAGTGCAAAGCCAAAAGTGTTTCTTTCTGGTTGCATTTTCCCTCTTACTCTCATTAAGTAATCTTCATTTTATAACTTCTCCAATTCTGACTTAAAATTTAGCTTATTTCTACCTGGGTTCTGTTATTAACAGAATGATCTTCTTTTAGGCTTTAAATACGATGCTTTTTTGGGGGAAAATGTTGAAAGTTTAATCTGGAGTTAGATAACTATAGTGGGAAAGCCAACAACAACTTTATCTGGAAATTTGGAGAATATGGTTCTCGCCCTGGCTCTGTAAATAGTTTGCTCTGTGGTCTGGGATAATCTTAGTGTCCTTGCTTATAAAATGAGGTTAGAGTAAATGATCAGTACTATTTCTTCTAGTTAAATATTCTATCAATCTGTGATTCTGTACTTATGCACTGGCCAGTTAAGTGTTGAATAATACATTTTAAACAAAAAAATTCAGTTGAGTTCCTTGAAATATCTACAGGTTGCTTTGCTATAGCTGAAAAATTTTAAAGACAGGAAACAGGAAAGACCCCAAGTGAGCCTGCGGTATTTTGAGGGATGGTAGTCTTCTTGGTGCATTCCCTGTTTCTTTGTCCTTGGCACCCAAATAGAAGTCCTTGTCTGTAATGCTTGATTTCATGGGGCCTGCTTTCTCTTCTTAATCCTGCATGTAGTAGAAACTTGGTTCCTGTTTTTATCTTTTCTTACCTTCTCTGGGAGGATTTTCCCAGGAACTGCCTCTGTTCAGAATCACAACTCCTCCACTTCAGTCCTGCACTTCCAAAACCTGATTTACTGTGGTTGTGTCATTCTATCAGATATGCACATGGAGGTTCCCCACCAGCTTTTTAATCCATTTGATCTTAAAGTTTTCCCTTATTTGTCACTCTTGTTGAGATTCCTCTTCATGGCTGCCAAATCCGTCCCAATGTTTCCTCAACTGGGACCCATTGTCTGCTTGTAGCTTGTCCCTGTTCTCTCCAGGATCACACAATGCTTTTGATTCTGTGCAATAGTGCAGACTATTCCTTCCTGAAACTAACTCAATTTGTTTTCGAACAAATATCACAATATTGTTTCCCTTATTTCAAGGGGTTACATTTGTGACTCTATTTGCCGTTGAGAAATGAGAATTTAGATGTTGAGAGGCTGTGGAATGAAAGGTGGAAATGGCTTGTTTTTGCAAATGGAAAGAAATCTACCCCCATTTAGCTAAAAGCACAAGACTTTTCTAATCAAGCATTTGACATCATGACCAGGCTTGGGAAAAAGTGTACCTGTTCACTTATAATTGGTTCTGCTCACAGAAGTGCTTTCTCATTGTCTGTGCAGCTACAGGAAATATGGTTAGTAAAAGCACATCTCAGCCTGATTGAAGCTGTTCTTTAAAGCTCTGCCAGACCATGCTGCAAAACTGTTATTTCCTATTATGAAAACTAAATCTCGAATCATGGTTAAAAGGCAGTCTGTTTTGGGGAGAGTGGCCTGTATAGGCAGGCAGTAATTCAGATTTGATTGGCAACATGAGTTTTTCAGGGAATGGTTAAAAATGAGGAGCATTTTGAAGGCCAGAAACACAATCCCAAATGATGATTCTCAGAATTTTCCTAACATCAGGTTATTGGTAAACCATATTACAAAATTTTAAAATCATCTCTTTCCCAGAAACTATAATAATAAAACATAATGGTTTTCTGTATTTCTATTTGACCCATGTAACAGAACCCTGTGAGATAGGTATCATTATCACCATTTTATAGCTGAGAAAACTCACCCAAAGTTCCAAGGTTTACAGTGTCTTGGCCGTCCTGTCTCTCTGGTCTCTTGCCAACAGAACACGGGTACTTATGGTCCCATGATGCCTGCTGTAAAAGCTATTTAAGAGTATCTTTTTCAACTTCACTGTGCTTTATTTCCTTACGTGAATACCATGTTTACTGTTTCTATCATTGACAGAGCAATACTGATGGCAGCGGCGGCCCACCTTGAGTGGCCGCTGCATGACACTGGCTACAATGGGGGAGGCACAGCCAGGGCTGAGTGCTCCATAGAACTGGTGGGAGCCGGGAACAGGTGGAAGCCATGCCCCCTTCCAAGTTGGAGGAGCTGGAGCCCTGCCCTCCCAGGGGCAGCTGTGGCAGAGCAGCCAGCTGTGGACTCAGGCATCACTGCACTCTCAGGGCCCCAGGAAACACCCTTGCCCCTTCAGGCTCAAAAGTGCCTGCTCTCGCTGCCTGACCTCTGCCCATTCCCAGTGCCCACTCCAATTTCAGAGCAAAGTTGTGGCCAAGCCTGGGGGCTGTCACGACTCGGCTGGGTGTGTGCACGCTTGGGGCAGCACTGAAACACCAGCCCCCTATCACCTCAGCCTCCTCCAGATTTTGGGTGCTCACAAACATGGGAGGGAGGGTGAGGTGGGGGCTAAGGGTGGCTCAGCGCAGTCTTGCAGGCACCACTTGGCACAAAGAGCCAGGGCACCATAGGCACCATGGAGAGCAGGTTAATGGTGGTAGGATGCAAACAGGCTCCTGGGCAGAAAGGAGCAGATCCCCAGTAAAGCCCCATCTTCAGGCCAGGGACGGCCTGAAGCCTGCCGGAGGGCTGCCATGGAGTGAGAACTTAATGGAGCTTGCTCTGGGGCCTCCCATGACTGCTCACGGGCCGATCAGCACCTACTTTCTCCCCTCTTAAGCCCATAAAAATCTTGGACTCAGCCAGACTTGAGCAGATGATGGGATGGCCTGCCTACAGAAAGGAACTACCCATTGTGGGTCTCCTGTCTCCTGAGAGCTGAGTGGACAACGGGACAATCAGCCTGCAGAAAGGAGCTACCCACTGTGGGTCTCCTTTCTGCTGACAGCTGAACAGATATTGGGATGACCTGCCTATGGAGAGGAGCTAACCACTGTGGGTCTCCTCTGAGCTGTTCTGTTGCTCAATAAAGTACCTCTTCACCTTGCTCACCCTCTACTTGTCTGCATAACTCATTCTTCCTGGATGCAGTACAAGAACTTGGGACCTGCCGAATGGTGGGGCTGAAAGAGATGTAACACAAACAGGGCTGAAATACACCCCCTGCTTGCCACATGGCAGGCAACAAGAAAAAGATAAGAAAGAAGGAGAGAAGAGTTTCAGCCCTTCAGACAACCCAGACCTGGGAGCACCCTGAGCCAGGGCTGTGATGCCCTTTTTGGGGTTCTGTGGTTCCTGGCATCTCCAAGTTTCTGGGTGCCACCACATTCCCTGGTGCCAGCCATGGAAGCTACTTGCAGTGTGCCTCATCCAGCCACAGCCTTGCAGGGAGCTGGTGCCTGGCACTGCCCACCCTGCTGCAGCCAGAGTGCCTGGCTGTGGGCAGTGGCTGGACCCCATGCTTGCTCATTCACACAATCCTCACCGCTCTGTGCCTGGCTCACCCTTGGCAGGCATGGGATCCAGGTTTGTCACGCAAGCTGAGTTCAGGCTGCCAGGCCGAGTGGGCACATCAAGCACAGTGGGCCAAAGCAAAATTCAGACAAAGGCACCACCGACCACAGAGGTTTCTGGACAGAAAAGCGACACCTGAAGGATCCTATGAGAAGAGCATCTTCCTTACAGAATGCTTGTAAAGACAAAATTGGCAGAAATAATGTATGTCAAAAAATATATATCAAAAGAAAATTAAGATGACCTCACATAAAAGATAATTTAATTTTCTTGTTTCATATGTAAATGTCATTATTTAAAATAAAGTTGTTTCTTCTAAGTGAAAGGAATTGTGATCAGGTATATCAATAAAAAGTTTAGAAGAAAGTGCATTTTTATTTTCATTCAACAATTGTGTTGCTGAAACTGTTGGAGAGACACAGGTTTATACCAGTTTCCTAGCTGTCTCTATAGTTCTGTGTGCTATAGCTCACAGCTTGGTTTAGCTGGTTTGGCCATAATTGGTGTATAGGAATGCTTGTGATTTTTGCACATTGATTTTGTATCCTGAGATTTACTGAAGTTGCTTATCAGCTTAAGGACATTTTGGGATGAGACAATGGGGTTTTCTAAATATTCAATCATGTCATCTGCAAACAGAGACAATTTGGCTTTCTCTCTTCCTGTCTGAGTACGCTTTATATCTTTCTCTTGCTCGATTGCCCTGGCCAGAACTTCCAATACTATGTTGGATAGGAGTGGTGAGACAGGGCATCCTTGTCTTGTGCTGGTTTTCAAAGGGAATACTTCCAGCTTTTGCCCATGCAATATGATATTGGCTGTGGGTTTGTCATAAATGGCTCTTATTATTTTGAGATATGTTCCATCAATACCTAGTTTACTGAGAGTTTTTAGCATGAAGGGGTGTTGAGTTATATCGAGGGCCTTTTTTTGCATCTACTGAGAGAATCATGTGTTTTTTGTCATTGGTTCTGTTTATGTGATTGATTACGTTTATTGATTTGCGTGTGTTGAACCAGCCTTGCATCCCAGGGATGAAGCCGACTTGATGGTGGTGGATAAGCTTTTTGATATGCTGCTGGATTTGGTTTGCCAGTATTATGTTGAGGATTTTTGTATTGATGTTCATCAGGAATATTGGCCTGAAATTTTCTTTTTTTGTTGTTTTTCTGCCAGGTTTTGGTATCAGGATGATGCTGGTCTCTGAAACTGAGTTAGGAAGAAGTCCCTCTTTTTCTATTGTTTGGAATAGTTTCATAAAGAATGGTACCAGCTCTTCTTTGTACCTCTAGTAGAATTCAGCTGTGAATCCATCTGGTCCTAGGCTTTTTTTGATTGGTAAGCTATTAATTACTGCCTTAATTTCAGAACCTGTAATCGATCTATTCAGGGATTCAACTTCTTCCTGGTTTAGTCTTGGGAGGGTGTATGTGTCCAGGAATTTATCAATTTCTTCTAGATTTTCTAGTTTATTTGCATAGAGGTGTTTATAGTATTCTCTGATAGTAGTTTGTATTTTTATGGGATGAGTGGAGATATCCCCTTTATCATTTTTTATTGTGTCTATTTGATTCTTCTCTCTTCTTTATTAGTCTGGCTAGTGGTCTATCTATTTTGTTAATCTTTTCAAAAAATCAGCTCCTGTATTAATTGATTTTTTGAAGGGTTTTTCATGTCTCTGTCTTCTTCAGTTCTGCTCTGATCTTAGTTATTTCTTGTCTTATGCTAGCTTTTGAACTTGTTTGCTCATGCTTCTCTAGTTCTTTTAATTGTGATGTTACGGTGTCGATTTTACATCTTTCTTGCTTTCTCCTGTGGGCATTTAGTCCTATAAATTTCACTCTAAACACTACTTTAGCTGTGTCCCAGAGATTATGGTATGTTTTTACTATATTAAGGTAAATAAAGTTCATTGTATTTATGTAATATTTTGTCTTCCTGGAGAGTAGGGAGGGGTTAGTGAGGATTAAATGAAATAGCCTTGTCTGAGTAGAATTTATACACTGTAATAATGTATTGCCTCTTTAATGATGAAAGAAATAATCTCTGCTGATGTGATCATTTTTGTTGTGCCTTTTCAAGAAAATATATGGGGCTAAAATGTTAAAATAACTTATTTTCAAGTAGAGTACTATAATCTGAAAATACAATTGAGTACCTTCTTACTGTCCGTAAATGAATACTCTCAAAAGTTCTGATAGTTTTAATTAAGGTAATAATTATGAATGTCATTCATTTGTTTAATGAAAATGTCAATATTGGCAAATAAAGCATTTTAATTTTTTCCTGTGGGATAAGAAGCTTCCTTTGTATTCATCCCTCAACCTTTCATTATTCAATACCAAAAGCTGTAGAGTAAATCAGGGAAAGTCACTAGGTTGGTGTCAATCCCTGGATTTGATTATTGAGAGGCAATTCTCCATGAAATATTTTCAGATTACCACACAGTCCAATCTTTTTGAGGAAAGACCACTGGCAAACTTGGTTAAAGTAGGGTTGAATAGCAAATGTATCTTGGAAGATAGAGATAGTAGGTTGCTTCAGAGAGGTTTAGAGACGTCTCCCCTGTAAACATTTGCTAACATCGCAAAATAAAAGACTCTCCCTCACCTGAGGAAAGGATGGGTCAATGTGCCAGCCAAACTCCAAGTGTCATAGTTTGTGAGTCCATGGTGGTATACTCAACTCTTGTCTGTGCAGGATAACATTAGTCTCTCATAGCCTTCTCAGTGCTAAGATGCTCTGTGAATATTCAACTATCTGTTTTCTAATCTAGACACTTTGTGTTTATTACCAGAAGAGCATCTATTTATCTATCTATCTATCTATCTATCTATCTATCTATCTATATCTATCTATCTATCTATCTATCTATCTATATCTGTCTATCTCTATCTATCTATCTATCTATCTATCTATCTATCTACCTATCACTGTGGCAGGCTGACTTTTTAGCTTATAAATATAGTTAGTAGACTTAATTTTAGATAATACAGATGTCATTCCTTTATTAACCTCATGCCATGCTGATGTTTGTAATGATGAGAAACGAGAATCATTTTATGGTATCGTTTATCAAGATATTGTATATATCATGTGTTCTCTATGATACATTCAAAAAACAGATCCCAGTAATAATATGTTTACAGTATGGAGTTCTTTACACACACATACTTTCAGGACAGTTGAGATAGAGAGATAAAAGCATTTCCCTGGTGCCAGTGGTAGGTTTGAATTTCTTTGAAACATATCAAGATAAGGTGATGCCATGCAAAGAACATGGTGACATGGGTGCAGCAGAGTGTCAGCTAGGAGCAGACTAGATTCATCTTGGCGGACCTAGTGGACTAGTGATATCTGAGGCCTTTTATGTGCATGAGTAGATCTATGCAAGTTTTCCAGCTAAAGGAAGAAGGTGATGTGTGCATGTGTTTGTGTGTGTGTGTGTGTGTGCGTGCACACATGTGCATGCTAGAGTGCAGGAAAGAGACAAAGATAAACAGGAAAGTTGGGAAAATTTAGAATATATTAAAAAAAACCCTATATCTTGCTTCCTGTTTGCCACAATTAGCATCACAGCCTCTGGAAGATGCAATGGTTAATAATTGCTGCTGATTCTTTGATATGGCTTTTCCTGGGGACAGTAGGGAGTCAGCTTGAGTAAAGACAAATCCTAGAAAGGGTGCTTTTTCAGGGAGATTCCTAACAGCTAACATAGTGGCAATGCTCTTGGAATCGAGTTTTTTTAGGAGCTCCAAACCCAGTGTCCCCCTCTTTGGTGGTTGCAAAGTTGCTTTTTCTCACAGCTACTGTGATTGCAAGGCTGCTGGTTTTCAAGTCTGTCATGCAGCTGAGAAGAATTGCTATAGGACAATTCAAAACGTCACAAAGCTCACATTCTTATCAAGATTTAGTCACTTTTCTTAAAAAAAAGATTTCTTTTTCGTTAATTTCTAGAGTTCTGCAAAAGTTGATTCTGACAAATTTTGCTAGTGGTCATTGCCTTTATGCTGAAATAGATTTTCAGAAGTCCTTAGCCTGCCATTTCTAACTGTTGGTCTTGGGCAAATTATTTAATCTCCCTTTTTCTCAATTTTCTAGTTCATAAAACAAGCATAGTAACATGCCCTAGAGAATTGTTGTGAGGCTTAAGAAAGCTCATTCAAGAAAACCACTTAGAATAGTACTTGGTACCTAATGAATACTCAACCAACACTGGCTGTCAGTATCAGTATATTCATTTTAAATACTTAAGTTTAGATATAAACAAACCTACCTTTTATTTTTCCCAAATTTTGGTTCTATGCTCACTTTTTATTTTTCTGAATTGGTTTATCTGGCTACAAAGTTTTACAGATTCTATTTCACAACGTTTCAGACCATAGCAGTTGATAATGTTTTACATTCCATTACACAGACTATTCCCTGAAGCTTTTTGGAACAATAACAGATGGCCAAGCTGTTGAAGATATTATGATTCTACTTACTGTTCAAATATGTAGGCTAGAACAGGGTAATTTTGCTTTCTGTTACCTGAGAAAAATAAGAATGCCACATTTATTTATGTACTTTTATCCATGTGGTTTATAAAATTTCACTTTTTGAGAGGATTGTCCCAGGGTGCAAATAGTGCAAAATATCTTATTGAATACCTAGAGCTATCAAAGTCATTAATGTTTTATAAAATATTCAAACTTTTAATAATAAATAAAGCTGCTTCCTAAAAAGATCTCCTACTAAGAGGGAGTACATATGAGAAGATGAGGTACTTTCAGTGCCTTAAATGTCAGCAAACTTGAGCCTGTCAGAAAAAGAAAATGGGAATTTCATAAATTGGTATAATATGTAATTACAATGGCTAATTCAAAATATTTAACAATAATTAATTATGAAAAATAAGTAGTCTTTTGCCCTCTTTTCTAAATGCTATTAATATTATTTATGATAATATTAAGCATAGTACTCATATAATGAGTCACTTCATTAAAGATATTCTTAGGTTTTTTTGGTCTATATTTGTAGTATTCTTAAGGCTCTGATTTTTGAATAAGGAGGAAAAGATGGCTAACCTGGTTCACCAGTTGTTCTTTAACTTTAAAAGTGAACTGAGATATTTTAACGATTATATTTTTATAATCCTTTTATATGGTAAAGATTAAACCAAATAAGATCTAAAGAAGATAAATATAGTCCACACAGAACTCTCTAGTTAAATGTATCAATCTGGAGAAAGTATTGTTTTTTTTTTTTTAAATTTTATTATTATTATACTTTAAGTTTTAGGGTACATGTGCACAACGTGCAGGTTTGTTACATATGTATACATGTGCCATGTTGGTGTGCTGCAGAAAGTATTGTTTCTTAAGGATCAAAATTTCAATTCAGTTTTATGCAATTGTTCCTGTATACCATGGATATCAGATAGATAGAAAGACAGATAGATAGATGACAGGTAGATAGGTGATAAATAGATAGATGATAGATAGATAGATAGATAGATAGATAGATAAGATAGATAATAGGTAGGTAGGTAGATAATAGATTAGGTAGGTAGACAATAGGTAGGTAGATAATAGATTAGGTAGGTAGACAATAGGTAGGTAGATAATAGATTAGGTAGGTAGATAGATGACAGGTAAGTAGGTAGATAGATGATAGGTAGATAGATAAGTAGGTAGGTAGGTAGGTAGAAAGATATTGATAGGTAGATAGATAGATAGATAATAGATAGATAGATAGATAGATAGATAGATAGATAGATAGATAGATAGATAGATAGTGTGACTGCCTTTGCTATCTGAAGATTTAGAATTAGAATGCCTGTATAGATAAACCTTATGAAAGTTAGGGCTCTTTCAGTTGTTAGAGATAGAAATCTCCTCTCAAACAGGCCTAAGTTTTTTTAAAAAGTACCCATGTGTACATATAATCTGAGAAGTCCAGGGGTTGAGCTCTTTCAGAAGTGCTGGATTAAAGAGCTCACCACAGACTCCATCTCAGCTCTACCTCATCTGGGTAGTACATTCACAGTTCCATTACAGTGCTCAGTATCTTCAGAGCCATGACATTAAAAAACAAAAGAAACATTTCTGCTTCAGCAGTGACTCAAACAGAAGCCACAGAACTGAGTTTTGTTTCCCCTGATTGGCCTGCTTTGTGTCGTGTATGAATCCCTGAATTGTGTGTGTGTGAGAGGATTTAATGTGCTGATGGACCAGTCAAGATTACACATTTGTTCTGGAGATAGGTATGTACTTCATTCAGTTCAGGCAGACTGAGAAGCAAGAGGGATATAGCCTAAATGAGAGTCTGGACTTTGCTGGAAAAAAGGGAATTTTTTTTTTACATATACTTTAAGTTCTGGGATACATCTGCAAAACATGCAGGTTTGTTACATAGGTATACATGTGTCATAGTGATCTGCTGCACCCATCAGCCCATCATCTACATTAGGTATTCTCCTAATGCTATCCCTCCCCTAGCCCTCCACTCACCAACAGGCCCTGGTGTGTGATGTTCCCCTCCGTCTGTCCATGTGTTCTCATTGTTCAACTCCCACTTATGAGTGACAATATGCGGTGTTTGGTTTTCTTTTCCTGTATTAGTTTGCTGAGAATGATGGTTTCCAGCTTCATCCATGTCCCTGCAAAGGACATGAACTCATCCTTTTGTATGTCTGCATAGTATTCCATGGTGTATATGTGCCACATTTTCTTTATCCAGTCTACCATCGATGGGCATTTGGGTTGGTTCCAAGTCTTTTCTATTGTGAACAGTGCTGCAATAAACATACGTGTGCATGTGCCTTTATAATAGAATGATTTATAATCCTTTGGGTATATACCCAGTAATGGGATTGCTGGGTCAAATGGTATTTCAGGTTCTAGATCCTTGAGGAATCGCCACACTGTCTTCCACAATGGTTGAACTAATTTACATTCCCAACAACAGTGTAACAGTGTTCGTATTTCTCCACATCCTCTCCAGCATCTGTTGTTTCCTGACTTTTTAATGATCGCCATTCTAACTGGTGTGAGATGGTATGTCATTGTGGTTTTGATTTGCATTTCTCTAATCACCATTGATGATGAGCTTTTGTTCATATGTTTTTTTGGCTGCATAAATGTCTTCTTTTGAGAAGTATCTGTTCATATCCTTTACCCAGTTTTTGATGGGGTTGTTTGATTTTTCTTGTAAATTTGTTTAAGTTCCTTGTAGATTCTGGATATTAGCTCTTTGTCAGATGGATTGCAACAATTTTCTCCCATTCTGTAAGTTGCCTATTCACTCTAATGATAGTTTATTTTGCTGTGCAGAAGTTCTTTGGTTTAATTAGATCCCATTTGTCAATTTTGGCTTTTGTTGCCATTGGTTTTGGTGTTTTAGTCATGAAGTCGTTGCCCATGCCTATGTCCTGAATGGTATTGCCTAGCTTTTCTTCTGGCATTTTTAAGGTTTTAGGTCTAATATTTAAGTCTTTAATCCATGTTGAGTTAATTTTTGTATGAAGTGTAAGGAATGGGTCCAGTTTCAATTTTCTGCATATGGCTAGCCAGTTTTCCCAACACCAGTTATTAAATAGGGAATCCTTTCCCCATTGCTTATTTTTGTCAGGTTTGTCAAAGATCAGATGGTTGTAGATGTGTGGCATTATTTCTGAGGCCTCTGTTCTGTTCCATTGGTCTATATCTCTGTTTTGGTCCTAGTACCATGCTGTTCTGGTTACTATAGCCTTGTAGTATACTTTGAAGTCAGGTAGCATCATACCTCCAGCTTTGCTCTTTTTGCTTAGGATTGTTTTGGCTATGTAGGTTCTATTTTGGTTCCATATGAAATTTAAAGTAGTTTTTTCTAATTCTGTGAAGAAAATCCATGGTAGCTTGATGGGAGTAGCATTGAGTCTATAAATCACTTTGGGCAGTATGGCCATTTTTACGATATTGATTCTTCCTATCCATGAGCATGGAAGAGGAGGTGGAGTATGGCCAAATAGGAACAGCTCAAGTCTACAGCTCCCAGCGAGATCTACGCAGAAGGTGGGTGATTTCTGTATTTCCAACTGAGGAACCCCACTCATCTCACTGGGGCTGATTAGACAGTGGGTGCAGCCCATGGAGGGCAAGCCAAAGCAGGGCGGGGCATTGCCTCACCAGGGAAGTGCAAGGGGTCAGGGAACTCCCTTCCCTAGCCAAGGGAAGCTGTGAGGAACTGTGTCATGAGGAATGGTGCATTCCGGCCCAGATACTATGCTTTTCCCATGGTCTTCGCAACCCACAGACTAGGATATTCCCTTGGGTGCCTACACCACTAGGGCCCTGGGTTTCAAGCACAAAACTGGGCAGCTGTTTGGGCAGACACTGAGCTAGCTGCAGGAGTTTTTTTTCCTACCCCAGTGGAACCTGGAATGCCAGTGAGACAGAACTGTTCACTCCCCTGGAATGAGGGCTGAAGCCAGGGAGCCAAGTGGTCTAGCTCAGTGCATCCCACCCCCATGGAGCCCAAAAAGGTAACATCCACTGGCTTGAAATTCTCGCTACCAGCACAGCAGTCTAAAGTTGACTTGGGAGCTTGTACTTGGTGCAGGGAGGGGTGTCCACCATTACCAAGGCTTGAGTAGGCGGTTTTCCCCTAACAATGTAAACAAAGCCACCGGGAAGGGAAGTTCAAACTGGGTGGAGCACACTGCAGCTTGGCAAAGCTGCTGTAGCCAGACTGCCTCTATAGATTGCTTCTCTTTGGGCAGAGCTTCAGCAGATTTAAACATTCCTGCCTGCTGGCTCTGAAGAGAGCAGCAAATCTCCCCACACAGTGCTTCAGCTCTGCTAAGGGACAGACTGCCTCCTCAAGTGGATACCTGATCCCAGTGGCACCTGACTGGGAGACACCTCCTGGGAGGGGTCGACAGACACCTCATACAGGAGAGCTCCAGCTGGAATCTGGCTGGTGCTCCTCTGGGACAAAGCTTCCAGAGGAAGGAACAGGCAACAATCTTTCCTGTTCTGCAGCCTCCACTGGTGATACCCAGGCAAACAGGGTCTGGAGTGGACCTCCAGCAAACTCCAGCAGACCTGCAGCAGAGGGGCCTGACTGTTAGAAGGAAAAATAACAAACAGAAAGGAATAGCATCAGCATCAAGAAAAAGGATGTCCAGACACAGAAACCCCATCCAAAGGTCACCAACATCAAAGACAAAAGATAGATAAATCCACAAAGAAGGGGAGAAATCAGCACAAAAAGGCTGAAAATTCCAAAAACCAGAACACTTCTTCTCCAAAAGATCACAACTCCTCACCAGTAAGGGAACAAAACTGGATGGAGAATGAGTTTGACGAATTGACAGAAGTAGGCTTCAGAAGGTGGGTAATAACAAACTCCTCCAAGCTAAAGGAGCATGTTTTAACCCCATGCAAGGAAGCTAAGAACCTTGAAAAAAGGTTAGATGAATTGCTAACTAGAATAACCACTTGAGAGAAGAACATGATGACCTGATGGAGCTGAAAAACACGGCACAAGAACTTTGTGAAGCATACACAAGTATCAATAACCAAACCGATCAAGCAGAAGAAAGGATATCAGAGATTGAAGATTAACTTAATGAAATAAGCTTGAAGACAAGATTAGAGAGAAAAGAATGAAAAGGAACAAACAAAGCCTCCAAGAAATATAGGACTATGTGAAAAGACCAATCATACATTTGATTGGTGTACCTGAAAGTGACGGAAAGAATGGAACCAAGTTGGAAAACACACTTCAGGATATTATTCAGGAGAACTTCCCCAACCTAGCAAGACAGGCCAACATTCAGATTCAGGAAATACAGAGAACACCACAAAGACACTCCTCGAGAAGAGCAACCCCAAGACACATAATTGTCAGATTCGCCAAGGTTGAAATGAAGGAAAAAATATTTAGAGCAACCAGAAAGGTTGGGTTACCCACAAAGAGAAGCCTATCAGACTAACAGTGGATTTCTCTGCAGAAACCCTATAAGCCAGAAGAGAGTAGGGGCCAATATTCAACATTCTTAAAGAAAAGAATTTTCAACCCAGAATTTCACATCTAGCCAAACTAAGCTTCATAAGTGAAGGAGAAATAAAATCCTTTACAGACAAGCAAATGCTGAGAGATTTTGTCACCACCAGGCCTGCCTTACAAGAATTCCTGAAGGAAGCACTAAATATGGGAAGGAAAAACTGGTACCAGCCACTGCAAAAACATACCAAATTGTAAAGACCATCAACACTATGAAGAAACTGCGTCAACTAATTGGCAAAATAACTAGCTGGCATCATAATTACAGGATCTAATTTACACATAACAATATTAACCTTAAATATAAATGGGCTAAATGCCCCAATTAAAAGACACAGACTGGCAAATTGGGTAGAGTAAAGACCCATCGGTGTGCTGTATTCAGGAGACCCATCTCCTGTGCAGAGACACATGGGCTCAAAATAAAGGGATGGAAGAATATTTACCAAGCAAAGAGAAAGAAAAATAAAAAGCAGGGCCTGCAAACATAGTCTCTGATAAAACAGACTTTAAACCAACAAAGATCAAAAAAGACAAAGAAAGGCATTACATAATGGTAAAGCGATCAATGAAACAAAAAGAGCTACTATCCTAAATATATATGCACCCAATACAGGATCACCCAGATTCATAAAGCAAGTTCTTAGAGACCTACAAAGAGACTTAGACTCCCACACAATAATATTGGGAGACTTTAACACTCTGCTGCCCATATTAGACAGATCAACAAGACAGAAAATTAACAAGGATATGCAGGGGAGATAAATTTTTGATAGAAAAAGTTATGGAAGAAATATACCTTTAGAGCTGTTCTTTATGAAACAGAAATTTTTGAACTATTAGGAAAATTGAAGCTATATAAAACAGTATAATTAGAACATTAAGCTTTACAGGTGGTCTCTTCTAAATGTCTCTTACTGGTGGAGCAACTAAAGGCCAAGAGAGGTTATGAAATTTTTCCTATATTTCACAGCTTTAACTCATTTGATTTGCAGATTGACAAGCTCCACTATTTTTGATAAAAATGAATTTTGAGCTTCAATTCATACCCGTATTATAGCACTTCCTACACCACATTAGAAATACTATTTCTCATTGGAGCTCTTCAATTCAGAGACAGTGTTTTATTCTGTGCAATATAGTATATTTTTCAGTGACTTAAAATTTTATTTGGTAAATGAATGAGCAAAATAAAATGAGGGAAGTAATGAGTAATGATTAACTCTACCTGATTGGCAAATCCAGAAGACTATGTTAATCTAACTATCTCTTCTCCAATATTGACTTGAAAAACCTACTTGTATGTCTCTGTCTCTGGAAAATAATGCATAAATTCAAACTCGTTGTTAACTCACTGAGAGATTTGAGGAGGTTGTGATGTTAAAGGGAAGGTGTCTGAAGTTAAACTCTATTTAAGGATATATTTTATCATTGTTTAATGCCTAAAGAAGGATCAGTCAGGGAGAAGGGCTTTTAATTCCTTCTGAAAGATGATAAAGTCAAAAGTAAGTGAGATCAGGCACTTAGAGGAACACGTTGAACCCTGAATGTGCTCAGTAACTACCTTTTTGACAGATTGACTGATCATCACATGTAGGCAGTCTGTAGTTTCAGTTTTCTGCAGAAATTTTCTTTCATGGAATCTTTGCCTATGTTTCTCAGGAGAGAGATAATGTTGTAACAACTGACTATGTACATCCTGCAGATATAACACATGAAGTTGCTCCTGAATTAGATGAATCTGCTTCTGTGCAGTATAATAAAATTAGCATCATAAAATGAAAACCCGGGTTCAAGCAACCCAATAGGTATTATTTCTTTATTCTCCAATTCCTTCCATTTTTTTAGCAAAAAAAAAAAAAAAAATTCCACTTGAGTGACTTTTAGGACTAGACTTTAATAAACACTTCAGTATAGTCGAACTGGATGAAGTACTGTCATATATAACTTACTAAAAATAAAATACAAAACTGCACACATAAGGAAAATGAAACATTATGCCCTGGGAACTTCCTTTTAATGAACACATGGCTTATATATGACAAAAAAGATCAGATCACTGTCGTGGTATACCTTAGGATGTCTGCCTGCTTTAAATGGGCTGGCAAATCTAAAAGAGTTAAACATGAGAAATTTTCAAATTTATCCAATAAGTAGATTCCCTGAAAGAGGCGGCGTCTATAATCACATTAAATGTAAATGGGTAAGCACTTCAATAAAAGGCAGAAATTGTTAGACTGAATAAAAGGAATTAAGACCCAACTACATGTTGTCTACAGATAATGTATTTTAATTATAAAAACACATGTTGATAGTAAAAGAATGGAAACAGATGTTCGTTGATTATATATAAATCTACCATTGAGAAGGAGGAAAACTAGCTCATTTAAAAAATCCAATTCAGTTCCAAATTCATTTCCTATATTCTGTGCTATAGGGAAGATTGTCAGAAGGCATCTTTCTTTTTATATTTGCTTCTGTTTGTTAGATAGTACTGACTGATTTGCTACTTCTGAGCATTGGTTTTGAAATATACATACACACACATATAATTCCACCAGCATTTGCTCAAAAATTCCTTCAGCACTGAGACTGCATTGAGATTTCTACACTCAGTTTAGGTATATCTTCAATTAACCAAATTCTGGAAACCAACCCAGTAGTGTTTCTGCATTTGTACATTTGTCAATGTACATTTGTCAAGGTCCAGCCTTTGTAATAGTAAGTAGAACAGCATTCCTACAATCTTGATTGTGCAAAGAGTAGATTCTTGTGATTCATATATTGGGGAACCTAGTCACCCCTCTGGAAACAATTATAGAACTCTGGATGTCTATGGCCTTTCCATATGTACTCTAATCTGAAAAAGCAATCTTTAGCAAATCATTCTATTCAGAGAACCCAAATGGTGTTTTAAAAATAATAAACAAATAACCACTCTTTTTATCATATAAATAATTATTAATTGAATATGGAAGTCTGAAAGAACGTAAAGATAACTGAGCACAGTGGTGTTTGTCCATTATCTGGTAAGCAGCCCTTGCTTTCCAGCTCTCAGTCCAGCACTAAAAATAGTTTCCATAGTCTAAAAGAGTAATTAGCATGCTATTCCCAGATAGCCAAAATTGTCTTTTTAATTAACAATATAATTGTTTGAATAAAGACTTAGTCCTTATTAGGCTATGTAGTGATATGACAAATCTTTTCTCTGTCTTGTATTTTCAGCCCTGGAAATTTTCATTGAAAAATGTGCTTTCCTGAATGTAATGTCTCAGGTATTATTATGAAGAATGGCCTATATATCAAAGTGGCATAATATTATTTGAAACATCTCTGCCACAAATTACAAACCAATATTGTAAACCTAAAGCAACCTCTAAAAGTAGATAAATGAGGTAACACTAATAAGATAATTGTGTAGATAAAACAAAATCTGAAAATATTTGCAATTAATGTAAGGCAGGAAATAAGCAAAAAAGTAAAAATGAAACAAACAGAAAAAAAAAAAACCCAAGGTGTTAAATTTAAACTCAAACACATCAATAACCACTTTAATGTAGATGGGTAAATACTCCAATTTAAAAGCAGAAATTTTCAACGTAAATAAAAAATACTCAACTGTATGCTGTCTACAGAAAATGTATTGTAAATATAAAAATGCAGAAAAGTTAAAAGAATGGGAAAATATATATATATAATTGTAACATTGTTCAAAAGAAAGCTGGAGAGGCCATATAAAATGGACTTTAGGGCAAGGAATATTACCAGATATAAAGGCGGAAATTTTATAACAATAATGATCAATTCATCAAGAAGATATCACATTTCTTATATGTGTATGCAACTAATAAGAGAATGTTAAGATACATGAAATAAAAACCTATTAATGTAAACAAATAAACAGGGAAATTCACAATTACAGTTGAAACAGAACATTCACCAAGAAGTATAACCAATATCTATGTTAGTTATCTATTGTTGCATAAAAAATTTTACCAAAACTTAATAAGTATAAACAGCAAACATTCATTATGGCACAGTTTCTGTGAGTCAAGAATCTGGGAGCAGCTTAACTCGGTGGTTCTAGCTATGGGTCTTTTATGATGCTACCTCAGTCAATGTGTCAGCTGGGGCTACATTCATCAAAATTGCTGACTCAGAGGGGTTCTACTTTCAAAGTAATTCACCCGCCTTGGGGCAGGCCCCAGATGCTCTGATCCAGGTCAGTCACATGAGCCTCTGCACAGAGCTGTCTCTCAAAATGGCAGCTGGCTTCCCCCAAGAATGAGAGGTCCAAGAAAGAGTATCTAAGACAGAAGCTGTAGTCATTTTATAACCTAATTTCAGAGATGAGATTCCATCACATCTGCTTTATTCTATTTCCTAGAAGCTAGTCACTAAATCCGCCTACAATCAAAGTCAGGGGTTACACAAGGACCTAAATGCAGGAGCCAGTGATTACAGGTGGAACATCTTAAAAACTGCCTACCACAGAATATATCCTGGAGCATAAAAAACAGTCTTGACAAATTTAGAAGCATAGACAAATTATGGACATACATTCATTGATGAATGAATTGATTGGAAATAAATAACAAAAAGTTATACAGAAAAAGTCCCCCGTTATTTGGCATTTGTTCAATATACTTTTAAAGAATACATGGGTCAAAGACAAAAATCACAAGGAAAATTAGAAAACAATTTAAACCAGTTGAAAAGAAAACACAACATTCTATTGAAAATGAAAACAAAAGTGCCAATCTGAGAGAAAATGTTAGAGATACATATATCTGGCAAAGTGCTTGTATTTGTAATACACTAAAAAAACCCTTGACAGCTTGACAATAAGACAAATAAATGATTAAAAAGAGAGAGAAAGGTTTGAACAACCATTTTACAAAAAAGCATAAATGACTCTCAAAAGCATTATGCTTAGCCAAAGAAGCCAGATATTAAAGAGTAAATACTGTATCATTTCATTTATATTAAATTACAGAAAGGCAAAACAGAAGATCGTTTTTTGCCAGGGGTGGGGAACATTCACTGCAAAAAAAAAAAAAGCATGAAATAATTTTTGGTGGTGATGGGAAAAAATTCAGGGAATGAGGTCAAACCCAGAGTGCTGCCAGTAAAATCTGTGGCCTCAGGCTCACAATCAAACCAAAGCTATGGTTGTAATTTGGTTGAGATTTCAGGAAATTGTGGAAGAGTGTCTCATTTTCCTCTCAGCAGAAATTGCTTCTAAGAATTTTAAGGACAAGACTCTTTGGCCCTCTCTGCTGTGAGGGTCTTCACAAGTAACCCCAAATAGAGAAAGACTCTACTCAGAGAAATAGGTGGACGTCACTTTTGTCTAATGAATTGGATTATAATTTGTACACAAGTCCACATATTTTAAAAGGAATTATAATAGCCTGGACTGAAAGGAACAGACACTGCTCAAAACATAAAAACACTTTTGCGTCCCCAACTTCTTATGGGCAGAAAGCAGGCTAAGAACACTATGCAGCTGCAAACATATGTCATTAAAGAGTTCATGGTGTGCTGCCAGGCGTCAAGAAGAACCACCCCAGGGAACATATATGGGTCCTAATCAACATATGCCCTGCCTCCTGAGCCAGGTGAAATGGTAGGTAGCTTGTTCCTACTGGATCTCAGAATTTTCTCATCCCAGTGACTACAATGTCACTCACATTGTCCTGCCTCTTTTTAAGTGGAGGTATGTATTGTGGTTCTCTTGATCATGTCTCCTCATCGTAAGGTGGAAATGTGTGGGCATATAGCTGGTTTCTTTATTTGATGGTCTTCTGATCAAGAGGAAGTTCCACCCTCACCCTACTAGCCTCAATCTATTTGCTTTAGAAGCCAGTTGCTAAATACAGCAGCTTGACTTGATTTACATGATGAGATTCTGAACTTAAAGTATAATACTGATGGTGATGAGATTTGGGGGTTTAGGCAGATTGGTAAGTGTTATTTTGAAAGTGAGAGGAAAATGCATCATCCTTGGCTAGCGGACTAAGTGTGGTAGCTACTCTCCAAAAATAGCCCCAATGAACCAGCTCTCCTAGTCGCTAAGTTCTACCATAGTACATATGTGCTATCTCTGTGATTTGCTTTAAGCAATTAGATGTAGTACAAGTGTTTCTGGGCCAGTTTCTGGTGTAAGCCGTAAGAAGGCCTGGTAGGTTCTGGCCGGGCGCAGTGGCTCACGCCTGTAATCCCAGCACTTTGGGAGGCCGAGACATGTGGATCATGGGGTCAGGAGATCGAGACCATCCTGGCTAACACGGTGAAACCCCGTCTGTACTAAAAATACAAAAAATTAGCTGGGCATGGTGGCTGGCGCCCTTAGTCCCAGCTACTCGGGAGGCTGAGGCAGGAGAATGGTGTGAACCCGGGAGGCGGAGCTTGCAGTGAGCGGAGATGGCGCCACTGCACTCCAGCCTGGGCGACAGAGCGAGACTCCGTCTCAAAGAAAAATAAAAATTAAAATTAAAAAATTAAGAAGGACTGGTAGGTTCTGCTTTGCTTTTTAGGATAGCTCCACGCTGCCATGTAAAAATGTTGGCTATTTTGTTGGAGAGTCGATTTGGAGATGCAGTTGTCACAGCATCCCAGCAGCTGAGCTGAGATACTCAGCTTTCTTCACCAAAGTGCCAGGCGTGTAGTGAGCCATCTTGGATATAGCAGACCCAGTTGGCATCACATGGAGTTGGGCCTAGTTGATTCACAGAATGGTGGAGACAATAAAATTATCTCGTTTTAAATTATTAAGTTTTGCAGTGATTTGTTATTCAGCAATAGATAACTGGGCCTCTAATATAAGCCATTAACTGTATGAGACCATAAGATTATACTAAATACAAATGAATAAATTTGCTATTTTTTATTTTCTTACTTTGAATTTTAACTAACCTTAAATTTTTTTCTCTGTCATAAATTTATTTTCGGTAGCCACCAATATTAGAGCTTTGTACAGTTGTTGCTATATTGATTATATACTTTAGGTTTTTTGGCTTCTTTATTAAGGTTGCTTTTTTCAAAGTTAAGTGACAGTTTAAGTCATTTATAGATCTTGGCAGCAAAGAAGATACCAGATGTCACATATGTGATGAAAATATCCACAATCTTTTTGTTGTCATGAAAATATATTTTTAAAATCCTTTAACAGAAATTTAGATATGTAGTAGCTTATCAGTCATAGGAAAACAGATAATTTTTTAAATACATAAAGTACTTTTTAGATTTCTAAATGTTTTTAACAGCGTTCTAATTTTAATGGTAAAAACTGGATAAAAACGTTCAAATACTCTCTAAAAATGTAAATTCTTCTTTTAGAAGTTTCTAGCATTAGAATTTGGCATATTAGCCATGCTGTAATATATCTGGAGTCTTTGTGATGATCAAAATGGTGATTCTTTAATAAGCTGGTACTCTAAAAACTTTCTGATAGGTCTCAATGCTTCCATATCAGTTTAATTATATGAGACTGTTATAAAGAGCTACGTTCTTTGTCTTACTCCCCAAGGAAGTACATTCCAGGGCATAATTCTATTCTCTTATCAGCAAAATCTTGGGATTATCTCTAGCTTCTAAATTATTTTTCTATCCTCAAAATCATGCAAAAAGTTACTTAGATGCTTTAGGTACTTAGTTTGAGTCAGCATATCTTTACATGCGTACAGACATTGCATTTTGGAACTTATCCAGTGCTATCAAGTTGATTTAACATAACCATTTTTATGCTAAGTAGGTCATGACTGGCAGAGCCAAGAGAAGTCTAATAAACAAATGTTAATATTCTATAGAGTAATAATTCTTTTAAGACTGAGCTGCCCCCAAACGCCCTCAAAATGAAAAGAATAAACCTCTAAATTATCCACCAGAATTTCTTACATTTTCAGACTTTTCTGGGAGTATAAACATCATAATAATATCGGATTTGAGAGATATTTGTTTTCTTTTAAGGGAAGAGCCATCAGAATTAGAATCTGTTGGCAAGCATGCCTACTAAATAGGTTGAGTGTGTAGTCTTTGGCAAGACAGAAACAAGAAGATATGTGAGTGCTTCTGACTGTACAAAAATGAAGTATCACATCCAAATTCTTTCTAGAGGATAACACCAAGACCTTGATTTTTAAGCAATTAAACTTGAAAGGAAATGCTTTTTTAGCTCAGATGCTAGAACTTTTCCTTAAAAATGAAGATTCTGAAAAGTGGACAAATGATCCTGTTTCCCCATTGTATGTTGAGGAGAAACATACAATAAATAGAAAATTTACAGAAATCTAAATAACCAATAAATACACAAAGGCCTACCTAATCTCACTAAAATTCAAGAATATTCAAAATTTATTTTAATTCACCAGGGGCAAAAATGAAAAAAATATTTTAATTAAGCAGAGAGTGTGAGAAAAATAATTATCTTGTGCCTTGTATGTGTACTTTTTGACCTAGCAATTCCACTTAACATTATCTGTCTTATTAAAAAAAAAACCATATGTGCATTCATGAGAATAATCATTGTTGCACTATCTCACATAATTAACACATGGAAGAAATCTAGATATCTATTAATAGGAGGATGATTAAATAAATCAGAAAAACCCATACTATAAAGCATTTTAGAAGAATGCGGCAGAGACAGATTTAAATATACTGAAATAAAGGTGCCCAAGATATATTATTAAGTAAAAAAGCAAGTTACAAAACAAACTACAGTCTTCCATTTTTTAAAAACATAAAACTAAATCGTACATTTCCATATGATCATATATGCCTTATGATATATGTATATGGTGTGATGCACATGTGCCATACTGATTGCAGTAACCCTTGGGGAAGGAAGAGGAAGATATAGTGGGCTAAGGGCTATTCATATAATAACTTTGTAATTATGGAGAAGTAAAAAGGATGGGGGAAAGTTCGTAGTGTAACTTGAAATAATCCCATCTTTGGTTTTAAACAATCAATGCTTAAGTGAATTGTAATTAATGATTTTCACAGTTCTAACTTCCAACTTGACATTGGTATTTTCTATAGAATATAAAGGTAATTTTTCAAAGATCAGAATGTTGTAGATGTGTGGTGTTATTTCTGAGGCTTCTGTTCTGTTCCATTGGTCTATATATCTGTTTTGGTACCAGTATCATGCTGTTTTGGTTACTGTAGCCTTGTAGTATAGTTTGACGTCAGGTAGTGTGATGCCTCCAGCTTTCTTCTTTTTGCTTAGGATTGTCTTGGCAATATGGGCTCTTTTTTGGTTCCATATGAACTTTAAAGTAGTTTTTTTCAGTTCTGTGAAGAAAATCATTGGTAGCTTAATGGGGATGGCATTGAATCTATAAATTACCTTGAGCAGTATGGCCATTTTCATGATACTGATTCTTCCTATCCATGAGCATGGAATGTTCTTCCATTTGTTTGTGTCCTCTTTTATTTCATTGAGCAGTGGTTTGTAGTTCTTGAAGAGGTTCTTCACATCCCTTGTAAGTTTGATTCCTAGGTATTTTATTCTTTTTGTAGCAATTGTGAATGGGAGTTCACTCATGATTTGGTTCTTTGTCTGTTATTAGAGTACAGGAATGCATGTGATTTTTGCAGTGATTTTGTATCCTGAGACTTTGCTGAAGTTGCTTATCAGCATAAGGAGATTTTGGGCTGAGACAATGGGGTTTTCTAAATATACAATCATGTCATCTACAAACAGGGACAATTTGACTTCCTCTTTTCCTAATTGAATACCCTTTATTTCTTTCTCTTGCCTGATTGAACTGATCTTTGACAAACCTAACAAAAACAAGCAATAGAGAAAGGATTCCCTATTTAATAAATGGTTCTGGGAAAACTGGCTAGCCATATGGAGAAAGCTGAAACTGGATCCCTTCCTTATACCTTATACAAAATTTAATTCAAGATGGATTAAAGACTTAAATGTTAGACTTAAAACCACAAAAACCATAGAAGAAAACCTAGGCAATACCATTCAGGACACAGGCATGGGCAAGGACTTCATGGGCAAAACACCAAAAGCAATGGCAACAAAAGCCAAAATTGACAAATGGGATCTAATTAAAGAGCTTCTGCACAGCAAAAGAAACTATCATTAGAGTGAACAGGCAACCTACAGAATGGGAGAAAATTTTTGCAATCTACCCCTGTGACAAAGGGCTAATATCCAGAATCTACAAAGAACTTAAACAAATTTACAGGAAAAAAATCAAACAACCCCATCAAAAAGTGGGCAAAGGATATGAACAGACACTTCTCAGAAGAAGACATTTATGCAACCAAAAGACACATGAAAAAATGCTCACCATCACTGGCCATTAGAAAAATGCAAATCAAAACCACAATGAGATACCATCTCACACCAGTCAGAATGGTGATCATTAAAAAGTCAGGAAACAATAGGTGCTGGAGACGATGTGGAGAAATACGAATGCTTTTACACCGTTGGTGGGACTGTAAACTAGTTCAGCCATTATGGAAGACAGTGTGGCAATTCCTCAAGGATCTAGAACTAGAAATACCATTTGGCCCAGTGATCCCATTACTGGGTATATACCCAAAGGATTATAAATCATGCTGTTATAAAGACACATGCACACATATGTTTATTGTGGGACTATTCACAATAGCAACGACTTGGAACCAACTCAAATGTCCATCAATGATAGACCGGATTAAGAAAATGTGGCAAATATACACCATGGAATACTATGTATCCATAAAAAAGGGTGAGTTCATGTCCTTTGTAGGGACATGGATGAAGCTGGAAACCATCATTCTGAGCAAACTATCACAAGGACAGGAAACCAAACACCACATGTTCTCACTCATAGGTGGGAAATGAACAGTGAGAACACTTGGACACAGGGTGGGGAACATCACACACTGTCATGGGGTTGGAGGATGGGGGAGGGGTAGCGTCAGGAGAAATACCTAATGCAAATGACAGCTTAATGGGTGCAGCAAACCAACATGGCACATGTATACATATGTAACAAACCTGCACGTTGTGCACATGTACCCTAGAATTTAAAGTATAAATATATATATATGTAAGCATATAAAGGTAATTTTTAAGGGCCTTTGTCTAATGGAGCAGAAATAAAACTTTCATAAGCCAGAACAACAAGCATGACTGGCCGTAGAGAACAATGCCTGACTGCTTAAGCTTTGTGACTTTCAGCGTGTTGCTTCGTCTGTGCCACTCTCTCTTCACTTGTAAAATGAGGGATGAAATGTATTTAGTAAGTGCCTGGGAAAAAGCAAAGAACATATTGTAGGACAACACTTAATGCACTGCCAAGCAAGATACTAAAAACAAAAAAAAAAAACAAAAAAAAACTGGTCTATTTTCATTTGTTCACAATAAACACAACAATCTTAGAAGTTTAATGCAACTCCTTCAATGACTGACTAGAACAATGTGAAGAAAACCAAGGAGAACCAATTCAAATGACTTACACAATTAAATGGCATCTTAAAAATGTTTGATTAAAGTCTGTTTCTTTCTTCTTCGCATCTTTCATTTGAAGTGTGGATTTAAGAAATCAAAAAAATGGACCCAAGTATAATTAATGTTTCATATTCCTGCAGAGTCCAAAGTTGACCAGAATCCAGCCAGCCAGCTAGCAAAGGAAGTTTACAAAGTAAATACGAAATGAACATTGTCTTTTGGTGATGTGTTTGAAACACTGCAACATTTGCATTTTAGATTAAGCTCAACACTATGTTGTCTCAGGTTGTAAGATCATCAGTGTTGATCTTCAGGATAAACAGGAAAGATTGATTACGTGCACTAAGAGCTAAGAACAGGGAAGCCAAAAGGATTAGAGCCTGTTCATCGAAAGCAAAGCCAATATTTAAAAGGTGATACTTTTGCATACATCATCCAGCTACATCGAGGTAACTGCACAAAGCATGAGAGTAACTTGGGAACTTTTGTTTACAAACATTTTAATTTTTGGAAAATATTAAATACCTGATCTAAATAACTGTCTGAATGCATAAGTAATTCAGCTAATTGTGCTGTCTGATTTCAATAACTTGAATTTAAAAAATATAATTAATAATATTTGAAGGTCTGTTTCACACGTTGCCTCTATTCTTTTATAAAAGAAATTTTCCTTTTTTATTTTTGGAGGAAAAGGCATACATATTTTAAAAGGAAGCATTGATTAGCATCTCTATTCTATTGTTTTTGTTGCGAAGTACTGTTTCTTTTTAGGTGAGCCAACTCTCCCTTCAGACTAGAAAACTGATGATGAAGCAAAAATATTTACACTTTGAAGTCAGAAGGAACAGCTTGTGGGGTTGACAGAGGCAAGGGGAGGGAAATGTGCTTGGAGTTGTTAACAAATCCGGAAACACAGTGTGGCATTTAAGTTAGTTAGAAGGGAGGGAAGCTGAATCCCTGAAATACAAATAAGGTTAGTTAACATTTATTTTACTCTGAAAGTACACTTCTTCAATTAAAGAAGTATCATGTTGTTCATTAATTTATAATCTGTGTGAATTAAAAATTATTAAATATCTAGCCTCAGATGTAAATTGTGTGTTTATGTGCATGTGGGTGTATAGTTCAGAGAAAGTGATTGTAAGAAGAAAGGGAAAGATGTATTAATGAATATTTTGGAGGGCCTCTATCATAAATCATTAATAACTACTCATGAAAGACTGTATCAGACCCACGGAACAAATAGTCAACATGCCCCATAAGGACTTTAGATCCACTATGGACCACATATATACAGTGGTCTCATAAGATTATAATGAAGCTGAAAAACTTGTTTCACCTAGTGAGGTCGTAGCTGTCATAACTTTGTAGTGCAACACATTACTCACTTGTTGTGGTGGTGCTGGTTTAAATAAACCTACTGCATTGGTGGTTGTATAAAAGTATAGTACATATAATTATGTATATAAAACTCGATAATGATAAGAAATGACAATATCAATGGTTTATAATATACATTTTATCATTATTCTAGAGTATATTCCTTCTACTTATTAAAAAAAGTTTACTGTAAAACAATCTCAGGTAGGTCCTTTTGGAAGTATTCCAAACAAAGGCATTGTTACCAAAGGAGTTGACAACTTCATGTGCACTACCCCTGAAGTCCAGTGGGACAAGACGTGGAGGTCGAAGACAGTGATGTTGATGACCATGACCCTGTGTAGGCCTATGTTTATGTGTGCTCTTGGGTCTTAGTTAAATAGTAAAAGTAAAAATAAAAATAAAAATTTTAAACATTGAAAAAAAAGCTTATAGAACAAGGATATAAAGAAAATATTTGGCCTGGTGTGGTGGCTCACGTCTGTAATCCCAGCACTTTGGGAGGCCAAGGCTGGCAGATCACTTGAGGTCAGGAGTTTGAGACCAGCCTGGCCAACATGGTGAAACAGTGCCTTTACTAAAATACAAAAAATTAGCTGAGTGTGATGGTGCACATTTGTAATCCCAGCTACTTGGGAGGTTGAGGCAGGAGAATCACTTGAACCCGGGAGGTGGAGCTTGTAGTGAGTCAAGATCGTGCCACTGCACTCCAGCCTGGGTGACAGAGCGAGACTCCATCTCCAAAAAAAAACAAAAAAAAAGAAAATATTTTTGTACATCTGTACAGCATATTTGCATTTTAAGTTATGTTATTAACAAAAGAGTCAAAAAATTAAAACATTTATAAAGTAATAAAGTTACGGTAAGCTAAGTTTAATTTATTATTGAAGAAAGAAATTTTTTTAATACACTGAATGTAGCCAAAGTTTACAGTGTTTATAAAGCCTACAGTAGAATACGGTAATGTCCTAGGCCTTCATAGTCACTCACACTATTCACTCACTGACTCATCCAAAGCAACTTCCAGTCCTTCAAATTTCATTCATAGTAAGTGCCTTATATTGATGTACAATTTTTAATCTTTTATATCATATTTTTACTGTATCTTTTCTATTTTATATATGTTTAAGTACAAAAATACTTACCATTGTGTTACCACTGCCTAGAGTATTCAGTACAGGAACATAATATACATACAGGTTTATAGCCCAGGAACAATAGGCTATCCCATTTAGCCTAGGTGTGTAGTAGGCTGTACCATCTATGTTTCTGTAAGTGTACTCTGTGGTGCTTGCACAATGACAAAATTGACTAACGATGCATTTCTCAGAAAGTATTCCTGTCATTCAGTGATGTGTGACTTAAGTGAGGAAGAAAATTATGTTATATAGAAGTAGAATACAAAGGAGGCTAACTCTGATAACTCATTATTTGTATCAAAAGTATCATCAAATTAAACATGTTTAAAAAACAAAGATTTTCAAATGCTACTTAATAGTTCATGCTTCATATTTCATTCAACAAAACTGTTGGTTACAACATCAATCAGGCAAAAAGGATACATGGAATGTGCGAAATTCACTTTGGGGATTTCTGGTATGCATTAAAAAGATGTAAAGATATAAGCAGCTATTAAGGGAGGTAAGACTGCAATATAATGGACCTGACTGATGATGATTCAGAGTTTGTTAGAATTGTGATATTAAGGCACCATGGACAGAGAATATTAGACAGCGATTTCAAATATATACTGTCAATTGAAAGTCAGGAGTGCAGATGCTTTGAATTTGGGGTGCTAAATTTTGATCTGTTTGCTTCTACATTAGCCACTAGCCACTCAATAAAGTATTGCTCTAGGTTGAGAATCAATAAAAATTTAAGAATAATTGAACATTTTTTCCAAGGAATGTTGTATTGATCAACTAGCATTCAAATACATGTATGCACCGATTATTGACTATGATATGTTCTGAGAAATGCATCATTAGGCAATTTCATTGTGTAAATATTATAGAGTGTACTTAAGCAAACTTAAGATGGTATAGCCTACTACACATCTAGGCTATATGGTATGACCTATTGCTTCTAAGCTACAAACCTGTACATTATGTTATTGTACTGAATACTGGAGGCAATTGTAACACAGTGGTAAGTATTGTGTATCTAAACTTATCTAAACATAAAAAGGCACATTAAAGATACAGTATTATAATCTTATGGAATCACCATTGTATGTGTGGTTCTTTGACTGAAATGTAATGTGGCACATGACTGTATACCCGATCAGTTCAATTTTGATTAAATAGCTCGAGTAGTAGTTCCTTACATTTGGCATTACAAATTTCTTTTCATTATTTACAAACAGTCTTCATTTGCAATAACTGGTAATAATTCATAATTTACCACAACTGAAATTGAATCTCTATGCTTCACAGCTAGTGACCTGGTATCAGCTTCCTCATCCATTTTTCCTAGTTGAAAATTCATCCCAATTTGGGCTTTTATTGTTCTCTCTTTATCATCTTCCATGCAGCTACATTCATGACACGATGCAAACTTTGTTGCATTGTGAAATACTTCCCAGACAGTAGGCAACCAATAAAGTTGGTGAGCAATAAAGAGGTGGAAGAAAATAACAATTCTTATCTCTCAAATGACTTTATATACGATTTTGGCTTTGTGTTATTAGAACCATTAAGAGTCTGAAGAGACCTTTCATATATTTTTTTATTCTGCATTACTGAATTTTTAAGAAAGAAATTATGTGCTATAATAGTGTTCTTGACTTTGAGAATTCTTGAAAGTCTCAACGGGTATCCCTGGAGAATGTAAGGGTCTCCTGTAATAAGATTAGATTTATGAGAGACTTGTAGTTTATATGAAGCTTTCAAATTCACAGTTAATGAGGTTTCCCTGGTGGTGGCTCATACAAATGAAGATGTCAGAACAAAATGAAGCATAAACTCCTACTGCAATTGGGGGGTCTAATTTCATGATAATGTGGAAAGAGAGAGAGAGCAAAACATATAACAACATTTATGTTAATCTTCAGGAAAAGCAGAGTTAAAATAACTTCTAGATATTTTAAGTAATAGATAAGAAAATAAAGATACTCAAAAATCTAATGATAGATAGGAAAAAGGAATGGGAGGACAATACCCAAACTGTTCTTGAGCCATAGTCTGGTTATCAATGACTGCCAGTGCTTTAGGGTAATACCAGCATGCAACACCTGTCTTGGATCAATGTTATTACCAACTGCATTATTTTAGGAAATAAGGCCTGAAATAGTCAAGGAGTGGATAAGGAGAGGTGTTTGTAGCCTAGTGTCCCATTTAGGCCTTCTCTGCAGCTATGATATCTCTGTATAAACTTAAGAAACATTTTCTTTTATATTTTATTCTTATTGATTATAGGAGTCTGCTGCAGACATGCATTTCCTAACCACTTTTTAATGTTTTAATGTTTCTTTAGTATTAATTCTATACCAAAATTAAATGGACGTTACTATAGTAAAAAAAAAATGCCTCAAGATTATAGAGTTCAACAAAATGAAAGAGAAAGAGAAGCTAAATTTTGGCAAATGACTGTGGAAAAAAATACAGAAAATGGGTTTCACCTTATTTAGTCTCTACCTCATGGGGTTTTATAAGTATTAAATGGGATAAAGTTTGTGCAATGCCAGGTACCTAGTAAACACTCAGTAAATATTGCCAATCATAAAGCCTTCTATTACCAATTTTCTGATACGAAATATCTTGCACACTTTCCTGTGTCTTTCTTTCTAAACTTGGGATAAATTTCATGATACTCTCATTTGTTTCTTCCTTAACTACATCTAATTAAACCAGATTTTAGGAATCTATAAGTTATATGCCCTCTCTGAATGATCTCTTCGATAGTAATATAATGTGAGCCACAATTTTGAGTCATATATGTAATTAAAATTTTCCTAGTAACTGTATCAAAAAAGCAAAAAGAAACAGGGAAAAACTTCTTTGAGTGATATACTTTAGCATGATATTTACAAAATATCATCAGTTTCATTGATTTACATGTAATCAATGTAAAATTATTAGACAAAACTTACTTTTACATTTTAAAAATCTAGTACTTATATTATACACATCTCAGTTCAGACTATCCACATTTCAATAATTCAATAGCTACCTGGTCAATGTAGTTTTATATGAAGAGAAAATGAAGTTTACAATAAAGAAAATTATCTCTAGTTACATATTTTCAATCATTTGCAAGTGGATAAGGTAACTTTTTTCATGGATCATGATAAGTAAGGAGAGTAGAAAAGCTAGGACAAAGACCTTTTTTTTGGTTTGTTTTTGTTTTAAATCACTTCTAATTATAACCTACTTTGTTACGCAGAAGTCTAGAGTTGGGCAGAAACACCTGTCTCAAACAGCCATCAATTCTTTGGAGTATTCAAAATTAACTTTTGTTTGGGATGATGTTAGTTAGTTAATCTAGTCATAGCCACAACACGAATATTGATTTTTGATGATTCAATGAGATAATGCACACAAAAGCATTCTGTAAGTTATACAGCACTATAAATGCATAGTGAGGATCAAGACTATTTTAATCACATAGAGAATTCATTGGTGAGTGCACCTAAATTAAAATATAATGCTTTCCCTTTCCTTTCTAAATTGACCTTTCCCTGTACAAGTTATTCATGGAAATCAGACACATTCTTTTCTTTCTTAAACTCTTAGGTCTCAAGCTAATAGGTAAGAGAGTAAACCCTGGTTGGGATTAATTTTTCAAAGGGAATACTTAAAAGCATTCCCTTTGTCTTTCCTTTCATTTCCCCAATCCAATTATTTCATACTTATATAATGGTTGTATGGGTCTCCAATTATCTATCTTTTTTTTTCAGTGCAGATAAACAGCTGATTAAATCTTTCTTTGATTTTTATGAAATGTAGTAACTTGGTAGACAACACTGAATGTATTACTTCTGTGTATGTAGCCTAGAAATACTTAGAACAATGGCAGCAAAAGCAGGTAATGCAAGGGAGATGATAGAAATGAGAAATTAAAGCAAGGTCAATGCCAATTCCATAGGCTAATTATAGTTTTCAGTGCATTATGAGTATTGAAAACTGTTTAGATTGAGTAGAGGAAATAATGGAGATGGTGACAGTTATTTTAATTAATTAGAGTGGCCAGGGAATGAAGTGAGCAAGACAATCATGTCTACTTCTGAGAGAAGAACCTTTCCAGGTGGAGGGGACTGACAATGCAAAGACCTTGAAGTAATAAGTTTCTTGTCATGGCTGGAATAGAGATGAATGGTAGTATATTTTATCTGAGAGCTGGCAGAGAGCCAGAGTGCATAAGGAATGATAAGCGCTTTAGATTTCTTTTCTGAGTAAGACAGGATGCCAACAGAGGATTCATTTTTGTATTTGTTATTGTTTCAGTTCTGGTAAGAAGACATGAGATCTATCATTGTAACAAATTTTTACCTATACAATATAATATTGTTGAATATAGATACCATATTGTATACAATATCTTTAGAGCTTATTCATCTTCCTTGACTGAAACTTAATTTGTCACTCCTCATTTCACTGTCTTCCCACCTGACAACCACCATCCCTTTCTGGGATTCTATGAATTTGCCTAGTTTTAGATACATCATATAATAGAATCGTGATATATTTATCTTTCTATAACTGGCATATTTCAATTAGCATAATGTCTTCCAATTCATACATGTTGTCACATACTGCAGAATTTCCTTCTTTTTTAAAAAATCTGAATAGTATCCCCTTGTATGTATAGCGTACATTTTCTTTATCCATTCATTAATCAGTAGACATTCAGGGTGTTTCCACATCTTGATTATTGTGAATACAACTGCAACGAACATAGAAGTGCTCCTATCAATTTGAGATACCGATTTCAGTTCTTTTGGATAAAAAACTCAGAAGTAGGATTGCTGGATCATATGGTAGTTCTATTTTTAATTTTTTGAGAGTCTCCATACTGTTTTCCATAATGGCTGTGCTATTGGCACTCTGGGTTCTTGTAATCTCCCAGGATAGAAATAAAGAGAGATCACTAGACATAGCAGCAAAGAGAAAGAGAAAGATTTATTTCACTTGTGCACAAGGAAGTCAGCACTACAAAAAGAAAAGGGTGGGCTGCTCCCTGAGAGTAGTATGTGCATTAGTTTTATAGGTCCTTTCTATAGGGAAGGGTTTCATCAGGTCCTGTATAGCAGGGGTTTCTCTAGTGCTTGTTCAGTGGCCTTATGCACTTCTTAATACATTGCATGGAAGATATGCAGTTTAAATCTCCACCCCTGGGTATGATTTTTAGCATTAAAATGAGGAAGGGGTAACTGTGAGTTGAAGTTCAAGTCTATCTTCACATGTGGAGTCCCAGGGAAGTCCCTAGCCCCCTAAAGCAGGAACCTGTAATTAATAGCTTCTTGGGTCTTTATTTGATGATTAGCTAGAAGTTAGGTCAGCTATAGCTTGAGTGAGAGGCATTTTTTCTTTTTCTCTAAACCACATCAAAATCAGAAGCCTGCCAGCTTGCCTGTCTCAGCTGTACCTTTGCATTTCCACCAAGAGTGTGCCAATGTTCCCTTTTCTTCACATCCTTGCCAACACTTGGCTTTTGATTTTTTGGTAATAACCATCCTGACAGGTGTGAGATGTTATCTCATTGTGGTCATAATTTGCATTTCCTTGTATGTTTTCTTGGGAGAAATGTCTCCTTAAGTCCTTAGTCCATTTTTAATCAGTTTTTTGGATATTAACCCTTATCAGGTATATGATTTGCAAACATTTTCTCCCATTCTATAGGTTGTCTTATTATTTTGTCAATTGTTTCCTTTGTTGTGCAGAAGCTTTTTTAGTTTGACATAGACCCATTTATTTTTGTTTTTGCTGACTGTACTTTTGGTGTCATATACATGAAATAATTGCTAAGACCAATATCAATAAGCTTTTCTAATATGTTTTATTCTAGGAGTTTTAAAGCTTCAGTTCTTACATTTATGTCTAGAAGAATTTTCTTTTTTTTCTCCCTCTCTTTTAAGAGACAGGGTCTCACTCTGTTATACAGGATGCAGTGCAGTGGCATGATCATAGTTCACTGCAACCTTTAACTCCTGGTCCCAAATCATCCTCCGGGCCTCAGCCACTCTAGTACCTAGAGATGCACCACCATGCCTGGCTAGTTTTTAATTTTTTGTAGAGATAGAGTATTGCTATGTTTCCCTGGCTGTTCTTGAACTCCTAGCCTCAAGTAGTCCTCCCACCCAAGCCTCCCAAAGTGCTGAGATTTCAGGTGGAGCCACTATGCTGAGCTTGGAAGATTTTAAATTGTTAAAATATTCATACTACCCAAAATGAAATACAGATTTAATGTAATACCTATCAAAATTTCAATGGAAGTTTGTACAGAAATAGAAAAAATAATTCTGAAAGTCATATGAAACCATGAAGGCCATGAATAGTCAAATCACTATTGAGAAAGAATAAAGCTGGAGGCAACATATTTCCTGATTTCAAAATATATTACAAATCTACAATAATCAAAACAGTATGGTTCTGTTATAAAGGCAGACATATAGCCCAATGGAACAGAATACAAAGCCCAAAAGTAAATCTACACATATATGGTCAACGTATCTTTGATAAGGATGACAAGAATACATAATAAGGAAGAATTATCTGTTCAACAAATAGTGTTGAGAAAACTAGAAATCCACATGCAAAAAAAAAAAAAGAGATTCGATTCTTAGCTTACACTATACATCAATATTGACTCAAAATGAATGAGAAACTTAGACATAAGACTTGACACTGTAAAAATCATAGGGTTTTCAGTTGGGAAGCTACATAATCTAATTTACATTTCAGAATGATCCCTTTGGTTACCCTATGAACAAGAGATTATAAAGGGATCAAGAGAAAGAAAGAGAGAGAGAGAGGAAGGAAGGAAGGAAGGAAGGAGGGAGGGAGGGAGGGAGGGAGGGAGGGAAGGAGGGAAGGAATGAGGAAAGGAGGGAAAGAAAGGAGGGAAGGAAGGAAGGAAAGAAGGAAGAAAGAAGAAAAGGAAAATAAACAACATACGAAAAACCTTTTAAATAATCCTGTGAAGAGGGAGTGGTGACTTGGACTAGGGATGTAGCGATAGATGTGATGAGATGTGGTTACATGCTGGATGTGTTTGAAGACAGAGTCAACGTAATTCAATGATGAATATATGTGAGATAAAGTGTTAAGGTTGACTCTAAGGTTATTAACATGTGCAGCTGGGAGAACAAATTTTCCACTTACTGCGATGAGGAAGACTGGTGTGGAAATATGTTTGAGGAGAAGTGAATAATTAAGTTTTGGAAATATTAAATTTGAAATTAAACATTCATACCCTTTGAACACCCAACTTCACCCCTTGGAGGGTAGTTGAATATATTCAATTTATATGAGTCCAGTGATTAGGGAAGAGGTTACAGTCAGAGATGTATATTTTGGTGTCATCAGCCTACATATTTGTGAATATGGACTGAGCAAACCTCAAAATTTACCTATAAGTGTTATTCATTGATTAATTTGCTTAACATTTTTGAGAGCATTGTGCTGTGTTCTAAAAGTTTAGTATATGCAATTTTCTTATAATCAAGCATCTTTATTTAAAAGTATTACTTCATTCCCCTGTATAAATTTATGCTTAAATAGCAAACTCCTCTTCTTTACTAATTAAAATAAAGGTACTCTTCTTGAGTTCTGAAAACACAACCAATTTCTGTATGTAATACACAGCCATTTCAAAATAGAATATCTAATATGACTGTCTTGTAATATAATTCTTTCCAGACTTCTTGACATGTCTAGCATTGAGTTCTGCTGGTTAACTATTTTGTAAGTTCATAAATTGTGCATAATACTGCACCAATTACCTAAGTAACTGGCTTAAATTACACAATTTTGGACTCAAAAGTCTTGTAAACTTTTATTATAATTCTGATTGTGTTACTTGCCCAACAAAGAAACAGTTTCTTTTTCACAAAATGATCCAATAATTCTTTCTTTCTTTCATGTGATTACCTGTATCACCTGTAGTTCGTTTATTCTTCTACATACTCTAAACATTTTTGTATTAAATCACACAATTAGAAATCTTGATATGCATACACATATTTATATAGTTGCCTTCTTGTGAAAGATCTTTTACTTTTTTCAACTTTAATGTTACACCTTTAGCTTACATTAAGTCACTTTTTTATCTTTCTGCTATAGGGAATTTGACATTTCTGCCTTTCTTTTTCCATTCAAGACATATTTCATTCAAGAAATATGTATTGGGCACCTATGAGGCATTAGGGCTATTCTTTTACTGTAGTATTAAATATTTATAATATATATTATATATGTTATATATATAATATATATTTATTATAAGGTAATTGTTAAGGAATGGGTTTTTCATTATTACAAGGTATTTTCATAAATTCTTCCAGTTAAGCCATGTTTCTCTAAGAAATTGATCCGTTTGTGGGTTTAAGTGTAGAAATTGATTATGTATTTCCTCTTTTGGGATACTAGGAAGTTCAGAACCCAATTTACAGTCCAACTCTATCAACCATAAAACATCTTATGATTTGATATTTGTATACTCCCTCCTTTTAAATTACATCTTATTTTTATTCTATTCTTAATTCTTTATTTTTGTAATCTGTTAATTTTATGTATAATTTTTAACCAGTTCAAATCTCTTTTGTTATGAACATGTATAAGTATATAAATATATATTGTTATATACATATATGTGTATTTGTATATAACATATATCTATGTGTGTGGGTGTGTGTATATATACATATTCGTATGTGAATATAATTTATCTATCTATATTTATGTATGTATGTACCTATCAATCTATAGAGAATAATTATTGTCTAAATATGTACTGCCCTTTATTACCTGATCGCTCTCTACCAGGTAATTCCTGAAGATAATATTCTTAGCTATACTGATATTAGACTTGTCTATATGACTTGACTTGGCCAATAAAATGTGATATATGGGCCGGGCATGGTGGTTCATGCCTGTAATCCCAGCACTTTGGGAGGCCGAGGCGGGCCAATCACGAGGTCAGGAGATCGAGACCATCCTGGCTAACAAGGTGAAACCCCGTCTCTACTAAAAAATACGAAAATCTAGCCGGGCGTGGTGGCGGGCGCCTGTAGTCCCAGCTAATCGGGAGGCTGAGGCAGGAGAATGGCGTGAACCCGGGAGGCAGAGCTTGCAGTGAGCCGAGATAGCGCCACTGCACTCCAGCCTGGGCGACAAAGCGAGACTCCGTCTCAAAAAAGAAAAAAAAAAAAGTGACATGTGTGACATGTATCACTTTCACTTACATATATATATATGTAAATATAGTCTACGTCTATAGCTATCTGCCATTTATGTATGCACGGGTGAATTAAATTCTTTTTACATATAAAGTACTTAAACATATTAGTATCTCTAGAGATTATCACATTTTTAGTACATTTTTGTCTATTCAAGAAAAAATTTGTATATTTACCCAAGGCTTAGATACATTGCCAGTACTTCAACAATACTTGCAGAAATCCGTGGCATAATACGCTGTAGATGGTGACTAATACGGCCACTAGCCACTTGGGGCTTCTAACATTTAAATTAGCTAAAATTAAAATTTTACTTATTTATTTGAACTAGTTACGTTTCAAGAGTTTAATGACCACATGTGGCTAGTGTAATGGAGAAACAGATATAGAACATTTTTATCGTCAGAGAAAGTTCTACTGAAAAACTTTATTATGGAATAAAAGAATTGTTTTTTTACTTGAAGTACAGATATTTTTGATTTTCTACTTTTTTCTAAAATAAGTGATTTTTTATTATGTACAATGCTAATTTATTATTTTTGCCACCAAATCACAAATTGACAGAAATGTTCTAATGAGAAAATATATAAATTGAAAAGTCATAAGTTGTCCATTTATCAGAAAAAACAATCCCAGATTAATTGTGGTAGCATTTTTTATTAGGATATAAATAATTGGCTGGCAAACTAGTTGCATTTTGGAGTTCAAATTGACATTACTGCAGCCTCATAAAAGCTAAGCAATGAACCACTCTGATGAAACTCACTTTTGGAATTAATTTGACCTGCATATTAAAATACTAGAAAGACGTAATCCTTCTAGGCTGTATTTCTTCAGCTATGTACAGTAGCTGTCATATTCGTAAACAGCTAATAATTAGTGAAAAATAATAGATGATGCAGCTGAGTGACAGAGGACTTTCAGGAAAAAAAAGCTTCAGTTCAAAGTACCAAAATGGTTTCTGTAATGGTTTTTTACATTGATCGTTTTCATCACTTTATTATTATCCTATCAAAAGTAGCGTTTAGAGGAAATATGTATACAGCCACCTTGAATAAAATTGAATTTGGTCATGGAAGCATTCTGTTAGAGACTATCATACAAACTACTGTTTCCATCTTTTTTGCTGCTGCAAAAAAGTGAAATTGATTAGAAATGACATTAGGTATAGTAAAATTGGCCCATGATTTTATAGTTGAATTTGTGGCATTGATCTACAGATTAAGGAGATGTTTGTGTTCTACCGTTTTTACCTGACAGCCTTGTATAATTATACTTGTAACATAATGCAAATGAGTACTTACTTGCATACCAATACTTTTACATGTAGATTTTTAGAAAATTAAACAGTGTTAAAATAAAATTTCTGGGTTTTTTGGTTTTGGGTTTTTTGTTTTGTTTTGTTTTTTGTTTTTTGTGTTTTTTTTTGAGATGGAGTCTCACTCTGTGGCCCAGGCTGGAGTGCGGTGGTGTGATCTCAGCTGACTGCAATTTCTGCCTCCTGGGTTCAAGCAATTCTTCTTTCTCAGTCTCCTGAGTAGCTGGGAGTACAGCCATGCACCACCATGCTGGGCTAATTTTTGTATTTTTAGTAGAGACAGGGTTTCTCCATTTTGGCCAGGCTGGTCTTGAACTCCTGACCTCAAGTGATCTGCCCGCCTCCCAAAGTGCTGGTGTCACAAGTGTGAGCCACTGCGTTCAACTGAAATTCCTAATTTTTTAAAGACCATGATGATAAACCCTTTTTTATAAAAACAAAAAGGTTGCTAAATGACACACTTTGATTACATGGATCCTCTTCTGTGCTTGAATGGGTTAGGGTTGAAAATTGCTAAAGTATGGAGAATGAGAATGTTGCTCTTTTCTACTGTTACTTTAATTGTGCAAAATGTTTATACAACACAGAATTAAAACTTATAGTAAAGTTGATAGCAAAATAAAAAAAATCTTTAAAAATGATGCCTTGATATGCCAGATGGTTACTTCAAGCATTCTGTAGGGTAATTTAAAAAAAAATGTATATTTTGGATCAAAATGTGAAATGTTAACCATTTTATTGGAAGCTTCACAATTCTTGTTCATTGATTCTTCTGTTGTTTTCTCAGCAGAAATCCAAAGCTTCTTTAGGCTGGGAAGCCAAACTAACCAATCCCTAACAAGAACTTTTAATTTAAAAGTATTTAAGCATTTTTTAAATACAGGGATTCAATGCCTAGCATGGGCTGTAGCCACCAATTTTGTCTTCAAATCTAATCTATGATGATGACACTAAAGCTAGATATAGTGCAAGAGCATTATATTATTTTGGAACACGTGTTCTGTAGATGCTGGCGGTTTTCAAAAAAAGATGCCTTGTATACAGCAGACCAAGATTTTTATTTAAAGAATTTACCCTAATAATAAGCTGCCAAATAGTTTTTAAAGGAGGGTTTAAAAAAAAAAGAATGAATGTGACGGAGCTTTATGCTAATTCTTGTCTGATTTCTTGGGAAAGTTCTCCAATGCATTGCAATAATTTCTAGAAATGCAACCTTCTGTACATATTTTGTGTGAATATTATGAATATCCATTAAATGATCAATAGATAATTTATAGACAGTTTATTCATTGAACCGTTGCCACCATTCACCCTTTGCTCATCTGTTTTTATTGTCTCCACTGCTGTCCCCAAATCTCTTTGTAGCCTGATACCCAGAATGCATTGCTGTCCTCCTTTTTCCTTATATTAACTCCTCTTTTTTATACCTCTATCATGACTCTTAGGGTTATTTTCTCATTAATTTAAGGCAATTCCCTAACAACTATTATTAGTTTGAAGATGAGCACATGATCCAAGTTTGCCCTGTGAAACCGAATGGAGGAAATTATATTATTTCATCGAGGGAGAGTTTCCCTGTGTTCCAGTGTATATGATCAAAGAAGCATTTTGCTGAGTTGTTTCTGGTAGCAATCTTGTGACTATGAGAGGAATTGACCAATGGACAAAACTGTCATGCCAAGAATGGCAGAGTGGTGAGAGAGTAAGAATCTGGGTCCATCACAGTATCATCAGGCCACAGCAGCCTGAGTTTCAACTGTAAACATATTTCACAATTTGACCATAAGAATTATGTACTAAATATGAGTTCGTTTGAAAATATTATTTGTGTTAAAGCTCAGCTACATTAAAGCAACTGCTGTGGAAGAGGCTGGAAACCTAGACACATGGTTGAGAATGCTTTGTAGAAAAAGTCTCCAAAAGCCCTTTATCCAAATGTAGAAATACAACCCTTTTGTAAGTTGTGACTACTTGTATAATGTATGTTTTGTAAAGCATTTAAAAAATGTGAAATAAATATTAAGCAACTTCTTTAAGATAATTTATTGAGGTATGATTGACATGTAAAAATCTGCACATATTCAATGTATACAGCTCAATGAGTTGAGGATAAGTATAAACCCATAAAACCATCACCACCATTAAGGCCATAGATATATATTTGTCACTTCCCAAAGTTTCTTCTGGCCTCTATATTATTATTATCATCATCATCATCATCATTTATTGTTGTTATTATTATTATAAGATCTATCCTCTTAGAAATTTTTAAATATAAGAATACAGTGTTGTTAGCTATAGGCACTATGTTGTACAGTAGACCTTCAGAACATAACTTGCAAAATGAAACTTTGTATCCTTTGACCACCACCTCCCCACTTCACCCTCCCATCAGCCCCTGGCAATCAACATTCTATTATAGTCTATATTCTATTATATTCCAAAACATATATGTTAAAATGTTTTGTTAACAGCTTTGTTTTTCCTTTACAAGATTGATTTAGCTTTTCAGGGTCATTTGTGCTTCCATATAAATTTTAGGATTGCTTTTTTTCTATTTCTGTGAAAACTTTCTTCTATTTCTTCTAATACATTAATGTAGATATCTTTTAATTTATTTTTGCCTTTGTCAATGTCTTTCAATAATGCTTTATAGATTTTAGTGTACAGATCTTTCACATACTTGGTTAATTTTATTCTTAAGTATTTTTATTATTTTTGATGCTATTGTAAGAGGGATTGTTTTATTAATTTCTATTTCAGAAAGCTCATTGCTAGTGTATAGAAATGAGATTGATTTTTGTATATTGATTTTGTATCCACGTATTTACTGAATTTATTTACTAGTTCTAACAGTGTTTTAATGGAGTCTTTACAGTCCCTGTTCTTGATCTTAGAAGAAAAGCTTTCAGCTTTTTACTCTTGAGTATGATGTTAGCTGTGGGCTTGTCATATGTGATCTGTATTATATTGAGGTATGTTCCTTTTACACCTAATTAATGAGTTTTTTAAATCATGATGGGATGTTAGATTTTGGCAAATGCTTTTCTGAATCTATGGAGATGATTATGTGATTTTTAATCATCATTCCATTAATGTGGTGTATCATATTTATTGATTTGCATATGTTGAAGCATCCTTGCATGCCAGGGGAAAATCTTGCTCATAGTGAATGATTTTTAAAATATGTTATTGAATTCGGTTTGCTAATATTTTGTTGACAATTTTTACACTTATCAGGTATATTGGCCTGTGGTTTTCTATTTTTTGGGTTCTTGTCTGACTTTGGTAACAGAGTAATACTGGTCTTGTAAAATAAGTTTGAAAATATTTCTTTCTCTTTAATTTTTTAGAAGAGTTTGAGAAGAATTGGTGTTCATTTTTCTTTAAATGTTTGGTAAAATTCACCAGTAAAGCCTTCAGGTCCTAGACATTTCTTTGTTGAGAGGTTTTGATTACTAATTCAATCTTCTTACTCATAATTGGTTGGCTCAAGTTTTCTATTTTCTTCATGATTGGGTCTTGGTAGTTTGCATGTTTCTAGGAGGGCAAGCATAAATTTGATGTCTCTAGGAATAAATCTCTTTCTTCTTGGTTTACCAATATGTTGGTGTATATTTGTTCATCATAGTCCATTGTGATCTTTTGTATTTTTGTGGTATCACTTGTAATGCTCTCTCTTTAATTTATATTTATTTTTATTTGAGTCTTCTTTTTTCTTAGTTACTCTAGCTAAAGGTTTGCTAATTTTATTTTTCCAAAAAAAAAAAAAACTCTTCGTTTCATTACTCTTTCCTACTTTTTTGTCTCTATTTTATTTATTTCTGTTCTAATTCATTTCCTCCCCTCTGTTAACTTTGGGCTTGTCTTATTCTTCTTTTCTAGTTCCTCGAGGTGTAAATTTAGGTTGTATATGCAAATCTTTCTCTTTTTTAATGTAGGTATTTACTGTGATAACTTTTCCTTTTAGAATGGCTTTTGCTGCATCCTATAAGTTTGGATATGTTGTGTTTTCATTTTTGTTTGTCCCAAGACACGTTTTGATATCCCTTTTGATTTCTTTTCTGACCTATTGGCTGTTCAATAGTGGTCCATTTAATCTTCTTGTTTCTAATTTCATACCATTGTGATTAAAGAAGATACCTGATATGATGTCAATCTTCTTAAATTTATTAAGACTTGTTTTGTGGTCTAATATATGACCTATTTTGGAGAATGATACATGTGTGATTGTGAAAAATACATATTTTGCTGCTGTTGGATGGAAGGTTCTGAATATTACTGTTAGATCATTTTGGTCTATAGTTGTTTCAGTTCACTATTCTCTTACTGATTTTCTGTCTGGATAATAAATCCATTGTTGAAAGTGCAGTATTAGAGTCCCCTAACATTAGTGTATTGTTGTCTATTTATCCCTTCAGTTCTGTTCTTTTTTATATAGTTCAGTATTTGTTTTATATAGTTAGGTGCTCAGATGTTGGGTGCATGTATATTTACAATTGTTATAATCTCTCAATAAATTTACACTTTTATTTTTATTGATGGTCTTCTTTGTCTCCTGTGATAATTTTTGACTTAAAGTCTGTTTTGTCTCATATAAAGTATTGCCACCACTTCTACATTCTTTTGGTTACTGTTTGCATGGAATATCTTTCTTTGATTACTTCACTTTGTCCTTAAAGCTGAAGTGAGTTCTTCTATTCCTTTGATCTGCCTTTCTTTGTGATTGATTATTTTTATAGTAAGATGCTTTCCTTCCTTTCTCTTTATTTTTGTGTATCTGCTAAAGGTTTTTCTTTGTTATTACTATGAGACTTACGTAAAAGATCTTGTAGTTATAACAGTCTATTTTAAGCTGATAACAACGAAGTTTGATCACAAAGAAAAACTCTACATTTTTACTTCTTCCCCCGACACACATTTTATGTTATTGATGTCACTATTTATGACTTTCATTCTGTGTTTCTATTAACAATTTATTATAGCTATAGTTACTTTTAATACTTTTGTTTTTTAACTTTTATACAAGAGTTAAAAGTTATTCGTGTACCTCCACTGTAACATAAATATTTTAGATTTGACTATACCCTTACCTTTACCAGTGAGTTTAATACTGTCATATTTTCATGTTGCTAATTAGCATTCTTTCATTTCACCTTGAATACTTCCCTTCAGTATGTCTTGTAAGGTCGAGAGATGATAAGATCTCTCAACTTTTGTTTGCCTGGGAAAGTATTTCTTTTTTTTCCTGAAGGGCAGCTTTTCCTGGTGAAATATTCTTGGCTGACAATGTTTTCAGCACTTGGAATATATAATCTTACTCTCCTGGCCTGTAGGGTTTCTGCTAAGAAATCCACTGATAGTCTTATGAATGTTCTTTTATATGTCACAAGGATTTTCTCTTGTTTAAGCAGCTTCTTTATTCTACTTTAATGTTCTCAAAACCTTGAACTATTAATTTAAAATTGCATCAGCAATTATGTAGTCAGTGTTAGAACAAGCAGATTTTTGCTGTCTTAAATCAGGTAAAAAGTTCTAGTTTGACTATGTTTTGTGCCATTGTTATGGAATCCAAATACATACCTTTACTAAAAAAAATAGCTCTTGTATTAATAATGCATTGACTTCCTGGCTTCAAATTTATGATCAGGCATGGATTAAACTGTGCCTATAATTAGTGAGTTGGTTCGTGTTTTCTTTTTCAAATTGATCATACAACATATTGTATGAGATATGTATAAAAATAAATGAAATCAGTGCTTGTAATGTCTACATGAGGGGACATTTTACTTATAGGCCAAGACGATGAAAAAAAAACATGCCTGACTCAATAAAATGAAATGCAAACCATATCATTTTCTTGTTTTTTGTTGCACTCAAGGGAAAATATCTTTTCTCAGCCACAGGTGGCCAGAATATGTTATTAATTAGAGTAGAAATATCAGTAATTTTTCTCACTTCTGTAAGGACAGCCTTCTCATTACAACCTAGGTACAACAAAGTTAGTTGATTGAGACCTGCACAGAGGTGTGATAATGCCTCTGTAATAACAATGATTATAATGAATCCATTGACATTTAATTTGTTAGAGTATGTCTGATAAGCCTTTCTAATTGATCTAGGATGCAGTGTCCCCATTCTATACAGAAATGAGCAGTGGTTAGGAATGACTTTTTATTAATTCCTGAGAAAAGATCAAGCAAAGTGCCTGTCTATTAATACCTTGTTCTACTCGAAAATCCTAATCTACTCCTATATTCTATAAAACTCATGACATGGTGTTTTTGTGGTCAATGGAGCTAGCAGTAATTCTCTAGGATGTATTTTGCTCTAATAAACTTTCAGTTCAGCTATATGTCCAGGAGATAAGGCCTGTTTTATGGCTTAAACTTCATCTTCAATCTAGTAAGGTCCAGAAACACTTAACCCTATGGCCCAGTAATGATTTGTCAGGGTCTTATAGAATAAGATTATTTAATTGGGGTCTTCACCACCTTTCACAAATTCTCTAAAAAGTCACTGGCCCTGTCATAGCATCTATTTCAGACTTACCTGTAAGTTTACTGTTACATTAGGGATGCCACATCCTATGAAGGCATACAGCACACACAGCAAAAATTGTAAAGGAGAAATGAAAATGTGATAGAACATTTTTAAAAATAAATATGACCATTCTTTTCTGCTCCAAATTTTCTTTCAAAATAAGCTGCTGATGTGCAATACTTCATATCTGGTTTCATGAAGACTTTCCTTCCCCGCTAACGTGACATAGAAAGCATCAATCCTGTGGTTTTAATAAATATTGAGCTCAGTTTCTTTGCTTACAGTCAGTTTATAATCACCACATATCTTTATGCACTTGTCAGATTTGAAAAATGTATACAAAGGAAGTTATACTCTGAAGGCCATAGCTGTAACAATAAGCGGCTTTTTCAGATAAAAGAAAAATAGCTTTCACCATACAGAGAGCTCTAGATCCAAAAGGCATAATATCCTCATGGCTGAATCAAGTTTTACTATGAGATTTTTGCCAAAGGCAATATTCTGGCATACAAAATTGTTATAGAGGCCATTCATGAAGAATTGTGGAATGTTAAACTAAATGAGACCTTAAAGTTCATCTTATCCCACTCCCTCATTTATAGATATACTGTGAGTTCCTGACACACTGTCTAATCTAATATCAATAAAAGTTCAGAATGGAACTAAGATGGGTGCTCACATCTTCTGGCTTTTAATCCAGGGCTGCTTTCACTATTAAATAATTTGAGGTATGAATATCAAATTTTAACTCAATAAAGCATCTAAATAGTATATAATTATATTATTATAGGTTAACCTGGAAATTGAGTTTCTGAGAGATTGTGACTTTCTCAAGGTTTTGTAGTAGTGGTAACAGAACTGAGATTAAAAACTTTAAAGTCTTGTTTTTTGATTCCCATTTTGCTAAAGTATTCATGATACCTCCATTTGGCTATCAGATCTTGAGTATGTGTGTTGGTAAAGCAGAGCCTTTGTTACGATTTAACTGTCTCCTCCAGTATTCATGTGTTGGAAGTTTCATCTCTGGTGTGATGGTATTAGGAGGTGGAGACTTTAAGAGGTGATTAGGTCATTAAGAGGAAGTACTACTGCTCTTGCAGGACTGGGTTAATTTTCTTAAGAGTGAGTGAGTTCTTGATCTCATGGGACTGGATTAGTTGCAGTGAGAGTGGATTGTTATAAAGTGAGACTACCTCTGGTGTTTTGCCCCTTTTCACACGTGCCCACTTCCCCCTTTCCACTTCTTCTCCATGTTTTGCCACAGCATGAAGCCATCACCAGAAGCTGACCAGATGCAGCCACTCGTTTTTAGACTTCCCAGACTCCTGAACCATGAGCCAGAATAAAACTCTCTCCTTTCTAAATTATCCAGTCTCAGGTACTGTTATAGCAACAGAAAATGGCATTCTTCAAGTGAATAAACTCAAATGGATGTAACCCACCTAATAGAGGCAAGCTATTGTCCTAACAGCAGCAGATTCTGCCAGCCATTAGCTCCACTTCAGCATCATTGCTAATTGCAAAAAACAAAGTGGAAAAAATTGAGTGTCTTCTTGCATGTGCTATCTTCATAACATGTAACATTTTTTGAGACCATTTTCATTTTCAACAGTTGTTATGGTTTCCTTGGAAGTTTATTCTTTTATTCCTTTCTTCATTTACAGTTAACTTGCTTTTTGTGCAAAAGTGTATGTGTGTGTTGTAAGGATGTTTCAGAAAAAAAGAAAAGTCTAAAAGAGAATGGGAGAAAATCAGGGAAACACACATAATAAATGAAAGTAAGATACAGATTTATTATGTCAGTTAAATATCCTTTGGCTGGCCTGTGAAGAATATTTAGTGTGAATTATGAACACTATCTTCTTTTGATGCTAACATTACATATTATCCCACTATATTTTTAAAAATAACTTTATCTTATGAGTAGTCTTTTATGCAAAAATGATTATCATGGGAAAAGATTTTTTAAAAGGATAAACAAACATGAACATAAACTTCCCTGTAATTCAATAGATGGTTAATTACCTTAACAATTTTGATGAATCTTCTTTCAGTTTCTTTCCCTCTGCTCAATCTGATTTGTAATTCACTCTTTTCAATTACTTTAATATAAATTTAACATTGTCTAGGCATAATAAATTTTATAGATATGTTGTAAATATATCTATAATTCATATCTACATCTATAATATATGATAAATCTATATCTATAATATATAATATAATATTATATTATATATCTATAATTGTATCTATATATTATATAGATATAGATATTTATAATTATATACCATTAACAGATAGATATCTCTATATGTAATATAGAGATAGCTATAATTATAGATAGCTATAATATGCATATAATGTGCATATAATATAATATGCAGATATGATAGATATCTGTAATTATAGATATCTATAATTATATATAATATAATTATAGATATCTATATACAATTATATATAATATAATTATAGATATCTATATATAATTATATATAATATAATTATAGATATCTATATACAATTATATATAATATAATTATAGATATCTATAATTATATCTATATATAATTATATATAATATAATTATAGATATCTATATATAATTATATATAATATAATTATAGATATCTATATATAATTATATATAATATAATTATAGATATCTATATATAATTATATATAATATAATTATATAATAATATATAATTATATATAATATAATTATATAATAATATATAATTATATATAATATAATTATATAATAATATATAATTATATATAATATAATTATATAATAATATATAATTATATATAATATAATTATATAATAATATATAATTATATATAATATAATTATATAATAATATATAATTATAGATCTCTACAATATAAAATAAAATATATGTATAACAAATCTATATTGAATATATAATCAATCTTATTCATCATTTATTGTTTCTAATCTAATTTTTTAGTATTAAAAACAATAACAATATATAGTGTACCCTTGTTAAATCTTTTAGCACATCGTTGATTTGTTACTTGATATAAATAACTAGATCATATTACCAAATTTGTGATTGAATAATCTTAACTCAGTTGAATTAAATTTTAAAGTTAATATTAATCAAATATTTCTTGTGCATTTATTTTGTGCAAAGCACTGTGCTAGATACTATAGGAATATAGTAAAGAGCAGTGTCTGTGTGGCAGATTGCTAATAGTTTCCTAATTGTTCTTTGCTTCCTCCTTAGTAGTATAGAATCCCTGATTTTTAGGGTATGGCTTCTAGCATAAATACTGTCTTTCACAGCATCTCTTGCAGCTTACCCTGGACAGCCTACCTCTATTATATTTTTCAGTGAAACAGAAATTGAATATCTTCATTAAGCCATTAATATTTTGGGTTTTCTTTCAAACTTAATGTTATATAATAGATAATTATTCCTTGGAAGTAGAACAAGTCAAAGAAATACTTGGGAAGACGAGGAGAAATAGCTGGGTATAAACTGAGTTGGAAACAAATAGTTTCAATGTTCTAAACATGCGTACTAATATCAAACAATTTATGCTCTAAAGCTTATTCTAGTAGTATGAATAATCTTTGAGAATTCTACTCATATTTATAAATCAAGGAGAATAGGTTTAAACAATAAGTTAAAAACTTTTCCCTTTAAGTAAACATAATGTGTTAAATTCTTCAAAGCAAGAGAATTCACAGGTATGATTCTCACCTTAATAGAAACCAAGCAGGTCTTTTGTGAGTGCACATATTCTGTAGAGTAACCAGATTTTTGAACATGTATAGCAATTAGCTAATTATCTGTGTTCCACAATTACAGAACTAAAACAAAAAACAAAAATAAAGACTAATGATAGAAGATTGAACTGGTGTGGATGTTATTTCACTCATCTTTCTGTCAGGAAACAACCTATAGTCTCACAAATTTTTTTCCATTGCACTAAAGAGAACATAGTTAAATATGTTGAAATAGAACTGGACCCCAAATTCACCCACAGGGCATAATACCAATATATTATGTTGATAGCAACAGACCAGTACTTGTAGTTTGATATCGTAGTACAGGTACATTGTAATGCCATATCCATACTGTTATTTGCTCTTTCCATGTAAAATTATAGCATAAAGATATTTATAAACATCATATGTCAACTTTTTTGATGTCTTTAAGTATCTACCTTATGAATTCACCACAATTTCCCTATTCTGCATTATTTGGGCATTTTGATTGTCAATTTAATGGTTGTTTCTAATTTTTCTCTATAAAGCATTTTAGATTTAAGATTAATTGCTTAGGCATATTTTCCACCAGTAGAATTATTGGTCAAGTGTTCAGTCATATTTAAAGTCCTTGAAACACATTTTCAAAATGCTTTCCATAAGGGTTGGGAAATAATTTAAGGTCCTCAAAGTTAGATTTGTATCAACTTGTCTGATTGTTTTGTGGCATTAAAGAGAGTATTGTTTAAATATCTCTAAGCTCAGGAGCCATGTTGACATAAGTTCCATTGTTTCATTTCTTTTTTCTTTTGGCAACTTTTTTGAGATATAATTGATATACAATAAAACTGTACATATTTAAGGTATACCATTTGAAGAGTCTGGATATACATAAGTAAACACCCTTGATATTACAATTATATCTCAATCAAGGTGATAAACATATTCATCACCTCCAAAAGTCTCCTTGAATCTTTTTGCTAATGTGTGTGTGTGTGTGTGTATGTGTGTGTAAGTACACTTGACATGGGATCTACCCTTTTAAATCTGTAAATGCACAGGATTGTATCGTTAACCACAGGCACTATATTGTAGAGCATATATCTATAATTTACCCATCTTGCATGACTGTAACTTTATATTCATTGAACAAGAACACCTCATGTCTCCTCTTATCCCCTTGCAATCAGTATTCTTTTTCTTGTTTTCACAAGTTTGACCATTTTAGATACCTCATGTAAGTGGAATCATGCAGTATTTGTCCTTCTGTGACTGACTTATTTCATTAAGTGTGATGCCTTCCAGGTCCATCCATGTTGTCACAAATGATAAGATTTCCTTCTTTTTAAAGGCTGAATAATATTTCATTGTATGAATATATCCCATTTTCTTTCTTAATTCTTCTGTCGATGGACATATGGATTGTCCCCCAATCTGACTATTGTGAATAATGCTGCAATGAACATGGAAGTGCAGATGTCACTGTTAGTCTTCACTCATTATTTTCAATTGTACATTTCTTGGAGGTGATGCAGTATGAAGAGCCTGGGGGTAACATAAGGATATTAAGAGAGGCTGAGGAATTGACAGAGACAAAATGATCAAGAAGAGACTATAAAAGACACATGTTGTTTCCACCAAAAATTTCCAAAGAATAAACCCCTCTTTAACATCCTGAACAAAGTGGCCAGACTCTGGTAAACCCAATAAAGACAGTTGAAGATTCTGCAACTCACTGGAGAATAATTTCCTGGTGCAGTCAATAAACAGTCTGTTCTAGGGTCAACACTGATCCTTGTACCTGATACCAGATGTTGAAAATTTGGTCAACATTTATTCAATACTTAATAAAAGTCTTATTTCCAGATTTCAGTTTTTTGTCTTTACTATCTACTTTTCCTAGACAAAAAACATTTTAAAGGATAATATATTTTATTGTTCAAAGTAAAATTAGTGAGTCGCACTTTAACCTAGGGAAATACCTGTAGTCATAACATGGAAATGACTAGAAAAACAGACTTGCTTTTTACTATTTATATATTGTATTCAACAGAAATAATTCCTAATAAATGATTCGCATTTATGATGCATTGTGTACCTCAGGAATTTGGGATAAGATTTATAAAAGAATTTGTTTTAATCATCATCCTTTTCATCATCACACATATGTGAAGCAGCCTGGGGGCACAATAAGATGTCTATAGTTTTGTTTGAATTCAGCATCTGCCTGCAAAGCTAATACCATAGCAACTAAAAAACCACTTGTACATTTTTCTTAAAAGACTCTATCCTAAGAAACCCTTTATACTCCCATTACATTTAAGGACTGAATGGTGTATCCTCTGAACATCACCATTCTGTCTTACTCTTTTTCCAGAGATCTCATTCTCTTACTCCCCTTAAACACCAGTCATATTTCTAAATGAACTTTCTCCCTTCATTTCATTCACATCTGTAAATTTCTGAATGTCAAGCAGACTTTTTCATTTAACTTGGCTTTGCGTGGGAGAAAAATTGAGGGTGATGGCATTTTCCTAGGCTTAGGCTTCGTATCTGGCATGTTTTATGCCCAGAAGAGTAGCAGTCAAGTGATAAAATTAAGGGGCTCTAATGCAAAACCATCACTGTATCTGAGATATCATTATTTTAACCTGGACAAGACAGTCACCTAGTGATGTTTTTGCCTTTTGGTGTTCTTTGGACCAATTTCTTATTAGGTTGCTTGCCCTTCTCAGGAGAATAGCCCATTTTCTCTCTCACCTTTCTTTAATGAATCACCTTTTATGTGCTATATATTATTTCTAAAATAATTTATTCTTCTATATGTTGGTCTTTTTAATAAATGATTTTTGCAAAATCCAAGAAGGAATATTCTTCATATTCTTTTTTATTCATGGTAAAATATACATAATACAAATTTCTACCATTTTAACAATATTTAAAGGTATACAGTTACAGTGTATTAAGGCCATTCACATTGTTATGGAACCATCACCACCATCTCCATCTCCAGAACATTTTTATCTTCCCAAACTAAAATCTGTACCCCTTAAATAATAACTTTTTATTTCTCCCCCACCCCCAGCCCCTGACAACCACCATTCTACTTTCCATCTCTATGAATTTGACTACTCTAGGTATCTCATGTAAGTGACATCATAACAATCTTTGACCTTTTGTGTCTGGTGTATTTCACTTACTATAATGTCTTTAGGGTTCATTCATGTTGTAGCATGTGTTAGAATTACTTTCCTTTTTAAGTCTGAATAATATCCCATTGTATCTATGTAAAATATTTTGTTTATCCATTCATCCATGAATGGTCATTTGGGTTGCTTCCACATTTTAGCTGTTGTGAATAATACTACTGTGAACATTAGTTACAAATATCTGTTAGAGTCTCTGCTTTTAGGTTTTTTTTAAATATACATAAGCAGAAGCAGAGTTACTACATCATTTGGTGATTCTATCTTTGTTTTGTTTTGTTTTTTTGTTTTTTTGTTTGTTTTTTTGTTTGTTTTTTTTTTTTTTTAAGCAGAGTCTCACTCTGTCACTCAGGCTGGAGTGCAGTGGCATGATCTCCGCTCACTGCAACCTCTGCCTCCTGGGTTCAAGTGATTCTCTTGCCTCAGCCTCCCAAGTAGCTGGGACTACAGGCACACACCACCATGCCCAGCTAATCTTTTTGCATTTTTTGATAGAGACGGGGTTTCACCATGTTGGCCAGGCTGTCCTCAAAACTCCTGACATCAGGTGATCTGCCTACCTCAGCCTCTCAAATTGCTGGGATTACAGGTGTGAGCCACCATACTCAGCCTGGTGATTCTGTGTTTAATTTCTTGACAGACCTTCATACTGTTTTCCACAATGGCTCATATCCTCCTTGCCCACTCTCCCTGTATTTCATGTGATCCTCTTGACTGTTCCACCTAGAATGTGTTTAAATTGTTTTCACTTGTTCTGTAGCAATATCTTTTATCATTTTCGCTACTGCCAGTTGCTTGGGACCAACTGTCACCTAATGGATTTTAATGGTTCCTTCTCTTATATCTAGCCTGAGCAGCCTCATGTAACCTTGACCCATTATTTTGGCCAGCCAGTAGCTGTTACTCTTATATTGCAGATTAAGAAATTAATTTGATCTCTGTTATGAGAATAAGCTGATGCAGCAAAGGATTTACTGAAAGGCAGTGTAACCATAAATGACTTCCACAGGTCACTTAGATAACTGAAGAAATCAAAGTTTCTAAATACCTAGTTGAACACTTTCTGCTGTGCGTCTGGATTTTTGTGTGCTTCAAACCTTAATTCATTCTGAAGCTGTCATATATCCTTAGTCGGTTTATTCTCCTCCTTTGGTTTATTTTTGCATCTTTATTTTGTTATGGAGTGTGGTACATAATATATCTAGCAATTTTTTCCTCCTTCTATGATTCTAAGTCTATAATATTGCAAATAAAATTTGATAAGCAACATCAAACAATGCTGTTCTATCAGCTATTTTCAAGATCAGAAGAGACATCAAGAAAAATAAAAATAATTATTTAATTTTAAATGAGGTACACACCATTATTTGACCCTTAAAAGTTATTGAAAATGCACCAGAAAACTTAACATCAAGTTTAAAGGAAATGGTAAGCTTACGCATAGGTTTATAACTTATGGGTTGTGAACTGCTAGCTTTTGCTGCTTCTGTGCCTATAAACCACATATTTGCTGAGAAATAGTAAAGTTGGATACTATGTTTGAATATTTAAAACAGAATTTCCTACAGAGCTACAGTATTTGTAGGGTTTTACTGGGTTCTAATAGATGTTATCTATAAAATTTAAGTACTTTTCAGGTGTGGGGAAGTAAATGTGCAAATGTTTCTCTGTGTATGATGGAGGGTAAGAGAGAAGTGGAAATATTTTCAAACATTATTACAAGAGCAAAATTTTTAAGAAGCTTTTTGAATTTTAGAGCACTTACTGGTAATATAAAAAATATATGTCACAAAATGTCCCCTAAATTTTTATTTCTTTTTACTTAAGAAAAGATAGTAGTAAGTGGTTTATAGTTTATATAGCGGAGTTCTAGTGACTCGTAAATGCTCTCTGGAGGTATAATGCTATGTTCATCACAGATTGCTTGAATATATAAATTCTCTTCTTCTCCACAGCTATTTGTAAGCACATACTAGCTTTATTTTCGGATAGCTAAAGAAAAAAATGGCCGTTATTTACGTTCTCATGTCGTCCAAAGCATGTCAGCAAAACAAGCCTGGACTTATATATGGTCACCCTTTTTGATGACATTGGGAAGTTTCAGGCCAGTTAAGAACCACTTTCAGGAGAACCAGTTGGACTGACTATGCAGTTGAGTTTGATTAAATCACATTTGTTGCATTTTAAAAATAATCACAGTTTGAATTTTACATCCAATAAAGTTTTTTTTAGCAACATTTAAATCCACTAGAGGCTATCTACCAGGGGTCACAAACGGGTAACTTCAGCCATAGAATCAGTCACAAATATGATCCTTAGTTTTTTCTCCATTCTCTATCTTGAGTCCTGCTTCATGGGCTCTGAAGGTGTTTGAGTTTCCAGCACTTAATTTCACGGGGATTTTAAATGATTTTAAATGTCCTTTGTTCCCACCTGCCCAGAAAAGACCTACAAAGCAGGAAAAAAAAATCAATTAGGTTCCTGTTGCCACTGCTCTAATTAATTTCCTCCTTCTTTCCCTGGAGGAATCAGGGGAGAATTATTTCTACCTCAAGGTCCAGGGCTCTCTTCTCCAATGGCTCTTTTCCAACCCTGTCCTTACATGCCCGTGGGTACAGCCAGAGATGATTCTGGAGAAAATTGACATGGGCACTGGCCAATCAGAGCCCAGTTATTGAGAATGGATGCATGTCTGCTCTTCAACAGTGCACGCCAGCGAATGTCAGCCCTGCAGTTAATGGTATTAAGAACCACTCTGTATTTTTGACTATTCATAGTGGAACCTTAGACAGGAATATCAGAAAAGTAGCAAATTGCGGATTCATACCAAATCTCATTTAAGTGACATGCTTGCCACGATTTGTTACGGTACAGCATTAAATAGGCTACTCTGTTTCACATGATCACCTCCTCCTCCCAACTGGCTGGTTCTTCATTTATTCTGAGCCCTCAAAGGCAGCTGGAAATAATTTCTTTCCTTTTTCTTTTTCTTCTTTTTACGAGAAGGAGTCTCGCTCTGTCGCCCAGGCTAGCGTGCAGTGGTGCTATCTCGGCTCACAGTAAGCTCGCCTCCCGGGTTCACACCATTCTCCTGCCTCAGCCTCCCTAGCAGCTGCGACTACAGGCGCCCGCCACCACACCCGGCTAATTTTTTGTATTTTTAGTAGAGATGGTCTACTTTAGCCAGGATGGTCTCAATCTCCTGACCTCGTTATCCGCCTGCCTTGGCCTCCCAAAGTGCTGGGATTACAAGTGTGAGCCACTGGGCCTGGCCTAGAAATAATTTCTTATTTTTTTTCCCATAATTTCTTCACTCTTGCTCTCTGTCTCTCTCTCAACTCTTTGTTCCTTGGAATTGAAATTCATTTTTTATCTTGGGCTTCTTATTCACTTTCTGACCTAGTTCCCAAATGCTTCTCTTTTGACTCTTCTTGAATATTCTTTTATATGGCAAAACATGTGATTAAGGATCTTGAGAAGGGGTGTTTGTCATGGAGTGGTGGGTGGACTGTGAATGCCATCACAATATTCTTAGAAGAGAGAGGCTGAGGGAGTTTAGATGCACACAAGCACAGAAAAGTCAATGTGAAGATGAAGACAGGGCTTGCAATGGTGCAGCCATGAGCAAAGGAATACCAAACTTCTGACCTCCAGAACTTTTAAAGAATATATATATTTTTAATTAGGCCACCCTGTTTGTGGTAATTGGCTATAACAGCCCTAGGAAACTAATATAATACACCGGACTTACCAAGGAATTAACTTGGAATTATCAGCTATGGACATAGCGGTTCATATCAATATGAATATTTATATATATTCCAGGCATTTTGAAATTGTACAGAAATGTCCTAGACAGAAAACCTCTCATGAGTTATTTAACTGATTAATTCACCACTTATGTCTCAAGGGCTAAACGGAAATTTCCAAGGTTATCAAGTAGAAAGACTTCCAAGAGCACACCATCTAGCCAGACAGACTTGAAAATAAGCAAAGTCAGGGCTTACTCAGGGAATTACAAAGCAAAGCATAGAAGGGGAGGGGTGAAATGGAGTTGCAGAATAATCGTCAAGGTCGTAGGTAGTAGTCTGGAATTTACAATGTGGGCAATAGCAATGGAGTTATAGAGGAGTTAGAGAAGTTAAATTGACAACTCTAGTTGTATATGAAAAACCTTGTAACTCTTTGCTATTGTAATAAGATAGAACTTTCTCAGTTTCAACTGCCCTAAACCACACTAAGGCCTTTCCATGTTGCTTTGTTTGCCTAAATAATTTGGCCTCAAATTCTCCAGCCATAGAAAATATTCCTTTTCTATGCATGATTGTATCCACATATGCTACATTATTTGGCAATTGGATTACAGTCTGATTCTCTGTGGATCACAGTGAATTTTGCTCTGGGTAATGAGTATTTTTTTACTTAAATTTATACTGAATTCTTGCTTTATATTATGCATATTAAAATGGCTTATACCCTCTAGAATTACAGCATACTATATTATTGAGTGGGAGTGAGGGGAGAGAATGAGACCTTAGGCCAGGGTAGGATTTACCCGTAGCTTTGTTCAACAGCTCATGCTTCTATTAGTTATAAGTAGAACAAAACCAAGGTAAGAAGGATAGAGGCCCACTCCAGATGTATCTCCCTGAGTCACCATCATGCCCTTCCTTGAAGTCTCTTTCCCTAAAGCCCCGCCCTTTTCCCTGCACAAGCACGTTGTATAAAGTATAAACAGTATCTAAGATTATGTGAATTCCTGTCTTGAAAAAGCCATCCACTAATACTGATCCATGTCAGGGGTATGAATTTGTTAGAGGTACAAATTAAAAATAAGTTAAAAAACACATTAAGGTTCTCTCTAGTAGTAAAGAGGGAGTTGATTAATTCTCAGTTGTTTATGACTCCTGAATGCAAATGTCACTCATCATTGTGATAAGATTTTTATTCTTGAATTAGTTTATGATATATTTGTGCCCATGTAGTGAGTAAAATCCTCAAATATAACATGTTAGGCAAGATCTCAGGGAAATATGTATTAAAAAAGGTAAAATTAAATGTATTTACATAGCTCTTTGCCAAGAAAATGAAAATGTTTTAAGTAAATATTCCAGGAGCTAAGATTAGATGAGAATACTTGAGATATGGGTGGCATTTGAATACTTACTTGGCTCTGCTTTAAGAAACACAATACTCTGAAACATTCACTAGTGCATTTACCAGCCTCTTGGAGTCCTGAGCATCAAGAAAAGGTGCCAACTGTGATCTTGAGAGGCTCAACTTAAGCCTGGAGTTTATGTAAATAGCCTTTGTCCTGAAGATATATGTATGACTTGAAAAAATAAAAACCTCTGTCCATGGAAGTCTCTTTTCAAATGACAGACATTTAATCCTAAAGCCATGAAATCCTGGCAGATTTCCCATATTCAAACTAAGTGCATAGATATAATGACACTGCTTCCTCAGCCAGGAGTAGCTACACTCTGAAAGGTAGTTGCCAAGAGCCAGGGAAGACTGCCATCTGGTGGGAATATATAATTACTACCAAAACACAAGTCACAGTCTCCTGGTTGCTTTATTAAGGTATTTGTTTACAGTCTAACTTTAAAGGCAACAGTGAAATGAAAATTTAAACCAAACACTACAGGCATCAAATGAACAACATTTTAACTCATAACTAATAGTTATTATTGTTTTAGAAATTTTATCCTATTATTTTGTTATTTTACCTTTTCTATGACATGTCAAGGAGAAGCAGACAAATATTTTTTCTTTTTTTTTTTTTTTTGATCATTTGGTTTTCCTTTACTTATGTCATAGTTTTCAAAACTGGGATAATCCTTCTTGTTACAAAAAGGGCAATATGATGCGCACCTCAGACTACATTAGGAGATAGAAGAATATAGAGAAATTAATTAAATGGCAAATAATGAAAGTAATCCAAACATAGATCTGAAAATGATGAGTCTTTAGCCTAGACTCCAATTTGATTTGCATTTGAGGATATTGTTTAATCCTTTTGTACTTGATAGATTTATGGTTCCTCTATGAGCTGGGTGTCACCTTGGCAAATGATAATGCTAGATCACATACTTGCATAGAAATTTTAATGTACTTAAAGTGCTTATGTGATCCGGGGGCTAGATCTGGGTGTTAGAAAACCATATCAATAAATACTCAGCTCTTAAATTTCCCCTATTATCAATTTTATTCCCTACTTATCTAAATTTCACTCCCTTCAAAGTGAATGTGGGAGTGGGTTGAAACATTTTCTGCAGAGTTTCAGATGCTATATATATGTTTGTGTTTGTCTGTGTGTGTGAGAGAGACAACTATACTTCATATTAAATATTTTCTCAGTATAAATTTGTCTCTCCACTGAATTTATAAATTATATATAATAAAAACAATTTTCTCTAAATATACAATTTTAAACATGTATCACTAAAACCCCAAAAGGAAATGAAATGTCTAAATGTTTTGTTCTTGACTAAGTGAGAATTTCAGATATAGGTAAAAAAGACAACTGGGCCAAACATCCTTCTCTCTTTCACTCCCTACAATTCACCAAGCACAAAATCCGTGATGGATGGTAAACTTGCCCACACTGAAACATGTGGTCAGTGTTAGTGCCCACCAGCAAATCCTTCCAGATTCATATGACTGGATTTACTTATGATGATTTGCTTAACAAAAGTAATTTATGTAGTTTCATGAATGCTTTCAGGATTTGGAGCTGAAAATCCTCAAAAAGAGCATATACTAGCTGATTTCCCTGATGTTCCCTGATGTTGGAAGAATCATTGATCATCATTAAATAAATAAATATACCTGTTCCAACATCTTGTAGCAGGTGGCACAGAGTTGACCATGTGTGAAAAAAATTCATCATCCACTAATTCTGACCTGCAAATTCAGAAGAACTGCCCTGGCAACTGTCATTCCAGGGCTTTCTGAAGTTGTAAACACACATGGCAGATTGTTCCTGTTCTGTAGTACCTGGGCTTCTTGATCGCAGTGTCAGCTGATTCAGAAGTTGTTCTTCCAGGTTCCTCTCATGATCCACAATGTTGACTTTGAAAACACCATGTATCCTCTATTTAAAAGCTAAAAATCCCAAACATATAACCCCAATATGCAATCAATATTAAATAAAAATCACGTGCATCCAAATCATCTGCTAACTATGGATTCTCTTTTCACTGAAAGTCATTGCTCCTTTTAGATATAGTATGAAGTTCAGGAAAGCTGAAGTTGCTACAAAAGATACAGACTAATGCTTTCTGTCAACATACACACACAGACACACACACACACACACGCACACACGCCCCTATTTGTAACAGATTTAGTCTTTAATTATCAAGATGTTTCTGAGAGCAAGTTACAAAGGTTAGACGCCCCGCATTCATTTGCTCAGTCTTGTTGTTAGATTGCCACCTTAGTCCCTGTCTATTCCTTGCAATAATGTCTAAACTATAGGTTCTGTTTTAGCTTCCAGAGTAGTACAGAATCAAGTCTCTAAAATTTTCGTCTGCTGAGACTATAGATCTAACAATATCATCCTAATCTAGTAATGATCTTCAATTTTGACTTTAGAAGGGAGAGATTATTTAAGAAACAATATCTTAATTCCTGAACTCCAGTATATATATATATACACACACATATACACACACACATATATGTATATATATACATACACACACACACACACACACACACATATATATATATATATATTTTTTTTTTTTTTTTTTTTTTTTTTTTTGAGACAGAGCCTTGCTCTATCGCCCAGGCTGGAATGCAATGGTGTAATCTCGGCTCATTGCAACCTCAGCCTCTCGGGTTCAAGCGATTCTCCTGCCTCAGTCTCCTGAGTAGCTGGGACTACGGCGCGTGCCACCACACCCGGCTAATTTTTTGTATTTTTAGTAGAGAGGGGGTTTCACCATGTTAGCCAGGATGGTCTTGATCTCCAGGCTTCGTGATCGGCCTGCCTCGGCCTCCCAAAGTGCTAGGATTACAGGCGTGAGCCACAGCGCTCGGCCTCCATTTTTTATGCACCCTCACGTCTTACACAAGCAAATTATTGTCTTGATTTCAAGACTTAGACCAAACGTTTTCTTACAAAAAATTTCAAGAATACACAAAAAGCAAGAGAATAGCATAATGAACCTCCAGGTACTCATTACCTGACTTCATCAACCGTTAACTCAGGACCAATTTTGCTTCATTCATATTCCTCATTCTTCGCCCCCATTGGATTTTTTGGAAAACAAAACAAAACAAATATCATTTCACATGATTTAATCAGCAAATTCTTCAGCAAATCCCTACTCTAAAATGTAGGGATTATTTAAAACAATATAGTGTCACACCTGAAAACTTATCAAGTAAAGATTCAAATCTGTATGGTTGTCTCATAAATGTTTTCTTACAGTCTCAATCAGGATCTACATAATGTGCATATGTTGCAATTGTTGATCTTTTAAAATCTTCTTTAATCTATAGGTTTCCTCCTATTTTTTTTCTCAATTTGTTGGAGAAACTGTATTTGTTTTATAGAGTTTACCACAGCATGAATGTTGCAGATTGTATTCCTACGGACACAAGTGAACAGGAGTAGAAATGATTTTCCTTTTGCCAGTTACATACAGCCACTCATGCAGAAACTGGAATTAACTGGTAATATTTTAATGCCCTTTGTTGTTTTCCAAACATCTCCTATTACTAGATTCCTTACACTTTATGGGATTTTCTTATTTATCCGTTTCTTTTCTGTTTACTACATGTCATATATACTAGATATAGTCTTTTCTAGACATCATGTGTTCTAGGATTGTTTTGTCTGTGAGCGGTCTTCCTCCCAAAACGTTCTTCTGTCTTATTTTCCTGAGAATTGACAGTTAAATCTTGAGGCCTGATAGATTCAGATTTGATATTTTAGGAAGATTACTCCATAGAGAGTGTGATGTATTTTCATCAGGAGTTACCTGAAGTCTGGTTGTTTCTTTCTTTCTCGTAAAGCTGGTACCTGTTTATAATCATTGTTAACTCAAAGTTAATGGGCAGTTGTGGCTACTGGATCTTGTTTTTACTTTCCAGAGACTGAGTGTCTCTGAGGCTGGAACCCCCACCTAGGGGTGCACAGTGGCACCCTTGATGTCAGCGAATTGTTAGGCTGCAGATTCAATGAACCTGGTTAAGTTCTTTGAACATTGTATTAACTAGTTTAAACAAAACCAAATCTCACAAGATGGACAAGCAATTTTTAGAATTACTGAAAACAACCTGCGGATTAAAGATCACTAGAAACAACATTAAGGAAGTGAAAACGCAAGGTACAAAGCAGAGGAAGCTATTTGCAAAATAGATAAGGGATACCAAAAAAAATTTGTGTTCAGAATATATAAAGAAATGTTATCAGTCAATACAAAAATACAAATAGCACAATAGACAAAGTGGGCAAAAACTCAAATAGTTACTTCACAAATTAGGTATTTCACAATAAGTACTTCCAATGAGCAATATAACATTGAAAAGTTATTTAATCTCATCAGTCATCTGGGAAATGCAAATTAAACCAATGAGGAGATAACACGAACAACACCAAATCCACTAGAATGGTTAAATAGACTGAGAGTACCAAGTCTTAGCAAGAATATGGAGAAACTGCTACTTCACATACCCGTGTAGAGAGTGTATTACTCTGGGAAACTGCAGGCTCTACTATAGCTGTCATGTGACCCAGCACTGACATGTCTACAGCAACGTATTCATATGTGCACCGAATAGAAATGTGTGACACGTGCACAAAAAGACATGAACAGGAATATTCACAACAGCATTATTTGTAACAGCTAATACTTGGAAATTACTCAAATATTCTTCAGTAGTAGAGTAAGTAAATGCATTTTGGTTTATCCATACAATGGAATGATGCTATGGATATAAAGAAGGAAGCCAGACACAAAAGAATATGTTATATGATTCAAAGCATACAAAGTTCCCAAATGGGGAGAAAATTAAACTATGATACTAGGTGTCAGAATGAGGGCTAGCTTTGGGGGAAAGGCACTGGAAATGTGATTAGGTTGAGGCATGAAGGAGCTGCTGGGATTACTAATATTCTATTTCCAGATCTGGGTAATGGTTGCATGGTACATTCAATTTATATCAAGTCATTGAGCTGTGTCCTTAGTATTTGTGCATTTCATGAAAGTATTATATACTATTGTAAATAAAATATTGTACTTATAAGCAAAAGAGAACCATTTTTAAAAACCTGACAGTTTTCACACTTCTGGTATTAGGAGGAAAAAAATACAGATGAATGAACCATACCCATCAAAATGTAAGGCAAAAATTTGAAATCCTAAAAATGATTGAAATGAAAATTTACAAACACTCATAGTGACAAAAAACTTCGCCATGTTATGTGATATTAGCCACTGGGAAAATGAAACCATAATGATTAACAATATATTTTAAAACTGAGCAACGAGAATATGAAGATACTTGTCTATAGTTTTTCAGCACTGTATAAAATTATGGTATACTCAATCCAATACTGCGTAACATTTAAGATTCACCAAAATTAATGTTAACTCTTACGAGTTAAAAAAAAAAATGGCCAGGCAAGGTGGCTCACGCTTGTAACCCCAGCACTTTGGGAGGCCGAGGTGAGCGGATCATGAGGTCAGGAGATTGAGACCATCCTGGCTAACAGGGTGAAACCCCATCTCTACTAAAAAAAAAAAAAAAAAAAAAAATTAGCCGGGCATGGTGGCATGCACCTGTAATCCCAGCTACTCGGGAACCTGAGGCAGGAGAATCGCTTGAACCTGGCAAGCAGAGGTTGCAGTGAGCCAAGATCGCGCCGCTGCACTCTAGCCTGGGCGACAGAGCGAGACTCCATCTCAAAAAAAAAAAAAAAAAAAAAGTAGCAATAAAGAAAAAGCTACCTATTATGGAAGTACAATGGTTCTTCCAAAATACGGTGAAAATCACATGAACAATACGGTGACAAATTAGAACCTTTTTTTTTTTTTCTGAAAATGCCCTTGACAAATGCTTAGAAAAAAAAATGCCGAAGATTTCAATATGCTAATACATGTCACAGCTTAGAATAATGCCTGACACTTAGTAAGCACAAAATAAATGTTAGCTGTTATTATAGTTTGTATGAACAAATGACTCAGTTGAGGGAGATTTTTCTATAAGTTGCATGAGAGTTCTGTTTTTTTTTCCCCGACATATCTGTTTATTATATTTACGTGATTATGTTTCAATAATGAAATACACAAAGAAGCATTTTTTATGCATTGGAGAAGCCATTATTCTGTCCCTTAATGACTTCTTTAGTGAAAGCATTTCTTTATGGATAAGTTAAGTAAGTACAACCACTGATACAGTAGCTGCATTGTCCAGAATTTTTAAAGTGTTTCTTGAAAAAGCCTGGAAAAATAAATTCACATATGAAATCCCCAGTGTCATTATAGAAATGTTATTGCAGCAAAGAAATTATAACCAGAGGTTCACTGAATTCTGCAGGATGTACTAAATATGCCTAATTTATAGAAGCAAAGTTTTAAAAATACAGTGGGACCCTCATGATACTCTGTGAGAAGGGGAATGACTATGGCATTGTTTTGCATCATCTAAAAATTTGCTAATCATCTCATGAAAGAATACTTTTCACAAAATTAAAGATGTATTAGTATTAAGTTTTATTTTACGAAATGGTGAGCATTCAAATTTGCCTACCTCATCCAGGATAAGTGCCTGTTGGTAGCCAGGAACACACACATACACACTTGAGCTGGCCCTTTAGTTAAAAGATAAAAACATAACTTTAGTAAAAGAATCATTCTATGGAGAATATTTTGAAAATGGATTGTTTTGGAATATTTTTGATGTTATATGCTTTCATTGCTGAAAACAGTGTGCAACCTATGAAGCCTCTCATGTTGTAAACCTTAAAAACATGGAAGCAAAATTTCTGAATTTTGATAAAATCTTCCAAAGAATTGCAGTGAATTTTAAACTCAATAATAAAAACATTAAATGATTAAATATATTATCTCAAATCTTCCTTCTTTCCTTCCTCCTTCCCTCCCTCCCTTCCTTCTTTTTCATTTCTTTCTTTCTTTCTTCTTTCTGTCTCTTTCTCTTTCTTTCTTTCTTTCGTTTGTTCTCTTCCTGCCTCCCTCCCTCCCTCCCTTCTTTCCTTCCTTCCTTCCTTTTCTTTCTTTCTCTTTCTCTTCTCTTGTCTTCTCTTTTCTTCTCTTCTCTTCTTTTCTTTTCTTTTCTTTTTTTCTCTTTTCTTTTCTTTTCTTTTCTTTTCTTTTCTTTTCTTTATTTCCTATAGATACAGGGTCTGTCTCTGTTGCCCAGGCCTGGACTGCAGTGGCACAATCACAGCTCACTACAGCCTTGAACTCCTAGACTAAAGCAATCCTCCAGCCTCAGCTTCCTGAGTAGCTGGGACTACAGGCACCCACCACCACTCCTGGCTTTTTATTTATTTATTAGAAACAGGGGCTCACTATATTGCTCAGGCTTGTCTCAAACTCCTGGCCTGAAGTGATTCTCCTGCCTCAACTTCCCAAAGCGCAGGGATTACAGACATGAGCCACCATGCTCAGCCAGTTTATCTTTTAAAAATAATTTGACATCAAGGTAGATCAAAATGTATTAGCCATTTTTAACAAATCTTTGCAAAATTGGTAGATATTTTTGAAACCTATGCATCATGACTTAGAGTGATTAACAATATACTTTTCCTGTTTGGATCCATATACCTTTGTGGCATTTCATTTTCAGTGGTGACAGCCATGAAAACTCATTACTCGAATGAACTTAATTATAAAGCAAACAATTGAGGGAACAAAAGGAGCAGTAAGCGGATTGCTCTTGTTAAAGTTTGGCAGAAAAATGAATGAGGCAATGGAAGAGGAGAGTCGGAGAATACATGAGAGGTTGGAAGAATGATTGATTAAGTATGTCATGGGAAGAGTGGAAGAGAAAGGGTCATATTCCAAGGGGGAGGCACTCACATTGGAAAAAGGACTGGACATTTTGTGAGTCAGTAAGAAACAGAAGAAATCAAGTGTTGTTTCTAAGGAAAGAGGAGAGCTATGGGAATTGATTTCAGATGGCCACCATCTCAATGAATTAAGTGGTTGAGTAACATTCTAAAATGAGGAATGCTGGATTTCCACTGTGAGCTTTGATAAAAGAGAAAAAGGCTTGAAATATCTTCCATAGACCTCTCGAAAGGAAGGGAAGCAGAGATCCTTGGAAAAACTGAGCAACACTGAGGAACCACATGTCACCAGGTAACATGAATGTATGTCAGAAACAAGTAGAAAATTTCAAGTTTTTTTTTCTTTTAAACCAGCAATGAGCTTGCTACCTCTGGGGATGAGTGAAGAGAGAGAGAGAGAGAGAGAGAGAGAGAGAGAGAGAGAGAGAGAGAGAGAGAGAGAGAGAGAATAAATTGGTAAAGGGAGTAGAATGGAAATTGAGGATCTGATATCTGATAGCCACAGTGAGAAAGTTGTTAATATGCAGGTTTTAAAGCCTCTTGGATAGGGAAACAAGTGAGGCAAGGAAGAAGCCAATAGGTAAAAATAAATGAAAAAGTGAGAGGGGGGTTCAAGTGTATTTGAAGATACAAATGTAATCAAATAAAAAGATGTTTTTAATTCAGATCTTTGCTCAAATATAATGAAAAATCTTCTCATTTAAATCTTTGCTCAAATGTCAAACTATCTAAAATTGCAACCTTCTTGCCCTACTTTACCTTGTCTATCCGCTTCTCTGTTTCATTTTTTTCCATTGAACTCATTCTATGTATTTTCCTGATGTATTTGTTATTGGTTCTTCCTCCCGGCCACCTCACCCCCAATCCCAACTCACACACACAGGATGTAAACACAAGGAGGGCAGGGAATTCTTTGCCTCTTCTTTCTTAGTACCATATCCCCAATACCTTTACCTTTGCATAGTTGTTGCTCATTGCATACTTGCTGAATTAATGACTGATCATACAACAATGGAAAGGGAATGAGTTGGTATAAATTAACTAAATATTTATCTTTTATGTTAATATTTGAAAGCTAGTAATTTAAGCTGGTAAGTCACGATGTGCAAAGCAAGTGTTACAGATGTAGCCTCCAGCAAAACTAAAAAGCAGAAATAGTAAGAAAGAAGTTGCTTTGGGGGATTGGAAATATTGGGACAAGAGGCTTTTGCTTTCCCTTCTAACTCTTCTGCACTGTTTGATTTATTACAACGTGAATGTATTGCTTTTGATGAAAAATAAAACCAAAACAACGCCCCCAAAAAATAAGACCTAGAGGGAAGAGCAGTGTTAGAAGCAGCAAGTGAGAGCACAGAGGAGAGTGTTAGAATCCAAGATCGTGAGGATGGAGAAATTCTGACGAACAATGAGGTCCATGTTCTGATTGTACTTACAAGAGGCTAAAAAAGACTAAAAAGAAGTTCAACAGTGGTGTGAATATTAAGGTCTGTTGATGTCATGTTTGGAGAGGGAAAGCAAACAGGATAACATGAGCTAGAGGCCATTCTGAGCAAAATGGAGAGGGATCCTGAAGATGAAGAGCCATGCCTGGATCTATAGAAATTTCAAAAAAGTGTTGGTTGGTGGTGCCAGACAATGCTCCTTAAAAGAGGGATCAGAAATAGAGCTTGTGAATTAGAGGAGGTCAGAAGAGCAGCCTTTTATGGGAAGGGGTTTCAAAGAAATGGTGCCAGGCTTAAGTTGAGCTGAGGAGATAGAAAGCAGGCTCCAAGGACCACATCCTATGTGGGGCACCTATTCACAACAGAGCATGCATTTTATATTTTAGCAACACTTTGGTAGCAAGAATGCCATTTGATAATTTATATACAGTAATTTGAAGGCTTGAAGAAATAGTGAGATGAGTCATACTCATCAAAATCATTTCTAGCTCAAATAATAATACAGCAATGTTTTAAATCAGATTGCCAGGACATTTACCTTTTAAAGACTCATGTGAAAGCCTGTATTTTAATACTCAGAAGGCTAAGATGATTTCAAAGGTAATTTTTAATAAATGAGTTGAGAATAATTTTCCTAGATACAGACAGACCTATTATAAAGTACACCACAGTTCCCATCTGTCATCTGCAGCAACTGTCGCCCTGCTGGACACTGTTCAAATGCTATTCATATGTCCACTAATTCAAAACTAATTTCACCAAAAGCTCATCTAACAAAAAATGTGTCACATAGTTGATTCCACTGTAATTTCTGTTTTCATAATTTAAAATAAGATTAATTTTCCTGCCCTTTGGCTACAGATTACACTTACAGACTCTAAGAGTTATGATTTCCCATTAAAATAGGAGCTATGAAAGTTATGACAATAATCATGCAAATTAATTACTTCCAAATTTTCAGGAAGACAAAATAAGGAAGAAGATTTATCTCTACACAAAGAGCTACTCCAGTGTGCATTACATCAGCATTTTGAGTAAGCCAACTTTGGCATTTTGAAGAGGAGGCACTTGCCATAGCGTCTCTAAAATCGCAAATTATTTTGCATGATTGTCCAATATCTGGAGTGACAAGGCTGACATCTTTGAGAGTAGAAGGAATTTTTATCTCCTTAAAATGCAATTATTAAGAATAATAATTGTACAGATTAGCTGTCTATTCAGACCTCATTTTAAAGTAAGAAGTGTTTGCTAAGCCTTGCTTCAAATCTTCATTTCGTCTTTGGCTAAATTCACAGAACGTTAGAGTAGCAAGAAGCACATTGATTTGAGCTTGATGGAAGTATGTGAAGAGGTTCTCCACCTAAGTATTGTAGATGAAAATTCTTCAACTCATTTCAATCAAAGTATGTGATTATATTGAGTTCTTCCCGCATCCATGAACTAGTATTTGATTTTTTCCAAGAGTGTGATTAAATCAACATAAATCAAGATGGTGGGACTTCTAGATATCAAATTACCTAGATCCCAGTTTTCATCAGGGAAAATAGAGGAAGATGCAAGTGAAATCTATATCTGAAATATGAGTACTGTTAATCTCTTACTTTAATGCTTGACATATTCTTGAAACATATCTTGAAAGTGAAGTATAAAATAATCTTAATAGTAATGAAGAATTTCTTTCCCACAGGACACAGTAAGATCTTTGATATATGATATGTGAGATGATTTCTAATCAGTTACAGCAAGGGTGGTTTTTCTTGGGTCTAGTCCCAGCCAGTCCAGGAAGAAGAAGAGGTCTTTGTAGGATTGAGATGGGGTGCTGTCTTCTCTTATTAGAGCAACTAGGGAAATAGATTCAGGCATCTTTCTTTTCCATAGGGCTACTGTCTGTCCTCCGACCCAAGAAAAGTTCAGGGTAGATACCAACTCTTTTAAATGTCTGACTTTCTGGAGGTACTTGGAATAAGCACAAAAGAAAGATTCTGTCCCTCTTGTTAACCACTATTGGGCCCAAGAATGTCTTAGTGTCAAGCCACTTGCAAACACCTGTGACTGCTGGTGAAGTTCCTGATCAACTGCCAGCCCAGACCAAGCCAGCAAGGTCACATTTGAATAAGAAGGTGTGAATGGTCCAGGGAGGAGGAGCACTAACAAAGGAGGGTAAGTGATGCCAGCAAGGACTCTCACCTGGGAAGGTCACAGCTTAAAGCTCCAGGAGGAGCAGAAAAGGGGAAATGAGCTTCTGATGAGCTGATGAACCAAGTCCTGCCAAACACAGGCTTGAGCAAACCCTCTGTAAACAACGTAAGGCTGCAAGGTACAGGAAAGGGTCAAAAGATAGCATGTCTTTGGGATAGGGCTGAACAAGCTCAGAAGCATCTCTTTGAATTGGTATAAAGAAGACATTCTGTGCAGAAAGGGCAGTTTGAGTATGTATGGATCATTGTAGAAAACCTCAGAATATTGCCCAAAAGAAATGACTGTCTATATGGATGATCAGTTTTAGATTATTTTTCACAGTTTACATTCTTGCTTTTTAAAAAAATATTTGCCTCTATCATATTATGGACCTTTATAATGCACAATGATGAATTAATTAGTTTTTATAAAAAACACTTGATCATCTTCTAAATTATTTATGGTGATTCAACTATATAACAAACAGAAGAGAACACACTCACAGACACACACACACAGACACACACACACACACACAGTAGGAGACAGATTACATACAGAATGCATTTCTACAATGATAATTTGCATATTCCCAGCAAGCCTGTATTTGATGTGATTCGATTTTTATTCTCTTTTATTTATGTATAGTCTCTGAATTATTGTCATTGTTCTTATTTTAAGTAGAATTTAATTCTCTGGAAGAAAGTTAGTTAATGAGAGATTTCTTCTCAAATATCACTTGAAATTTCTTCACTTAAGTGTACTTTCTGAAGTGAAAAAGTACAGGCAGTGGAAAGTAGCAGTGTTTATATAAGCAGAGAGGGAGGTTGCTTTTTTTAGTCAGGAGAGGATTGATTTTTTTACAAAGTAAAAAGTAAAGTACATTATCTAGGATACTTCAAGTTGCTTTAAATATGAGTGATGTTTAGTCCCTGGCTAAGAGAGGTCCTTTGTAGCTCTCTAAAGAAAAACAAGCCCATTTGCCCTTGGGGAGAAGGGGCACAAATAAATACAATCATGAACTAGGAATCTGAATAAATTGAAAAAGTATGATTTTATTCAACGGCATGGCCTTAGGTATGAGATGAAAGATAGATTTGAAGAGCTCTTTCCAATTTTTTTTTGTGGACATCTTGGTTAACTTTTTTTGGTAATATTTATTTGTTCCTTTCTTTGTTTGTGAGACAAATATTCAGTACATTATAATTTCATCATTACCTTTAGCAGGAACATTAAAAACAACATGCAAAATACAAGCCAAGAATAACATAAAAATAATTTAATAGTCATTTCAAATTAGCAGACAGGATTGTAATGATTCATTTCTAATAACAAGTTAAATGGAAATTACATAGAATAAACAGAACCTTATTTTTTGAAGTACGACTACAGCGTGGTCACAGAGGACTGATGCATGGCAGTTCAAATTTATCTATGTTCCTCTCCATTCTTTGCAAACATTTTAATTTCTCATTTTCCTCTGGACCCAACCTTCAGGTTGAAGACTTGACATCACAGAAGCAGGATCTGACAGAGGATTTTATTTCTCCAGTTGTTGTCAGGCCACATTCTCATGCCTAGGGTAATAGGGGCCACTGTGTTTACACACTTAGTTCTCAATTCTCACTTTCTCTAACATAACAATTCTCAGATTTATAACTTCCATAGATAGATGACCAATGTAATTTGATTCAGAGCTATATGGGATACTGTATGAATACAGTTCTGCATGATTTCTGTAATGAGTTTATTTAAAAGCACAGGATTTGAAATATGTGTTTTTTATGGATAAAACAAAGTAAAATGTAACTGCATTTTATCTACCAATATATAATGTAAGCAGTACTGTTAGGAGTGATGATATACACAAACTTGCTTATGCATGTGAGTGTGACTATATACTGGCCACTGATAACTGGCTAAAGAAAAAGTCATAAAAATTAAGTCATGTTTTATTCATGAATTTTCCTATTTATTTAATATGTAGTTATTTAATGCCTATTATATTTAAAACCCTGAGATGAGAGCTCAAGACAGTGAACAGGGCATGCATAGTTTTTACTTTCAGGGAGTTTTATTTTAGCCAGGGAGATAGACATTAAACATGAAAACAGCTATTATTTGATTGTAATTATAAAAATTGCATTATAGTAGAAGTACAAGGTGCACAAAGACTAGAAAATAGGGTGCTGGCTAAGGTTTATACAGTGAGTGACACTTGCAGGAACCCAGGACTTCTTAATATTAAGGGGGAAATTTTACTAAGAATGCCCTAGGCAAACAGAATAGCCAAGCCTTCAGACAGGAAGGAAGAGTGATGAGATTGTGGACCTGAAAGGACATTAGAATTAGAGTCCAGAGTGCTTACTAAGGCATGCAAGCTCCTGCCTCTCTACACCTCATCTCATTTCATAAATCTCTACCTCCCCGCTGGAGTCATAAACATACAGGTGGTAGATCAAGCTACATGATTGCTGAAATTATCTAGGAATGGAAAAAAGAAAACTGGGAGAATAACAGAACCTTGAGACCTCTTGACACGCAATGTTTGGGTAAAGAAGGATACTCCAGCAAAGGAGACTAAGAATAAGCACTCAGAGTGGAAGGAGGAACATCAGAAACCAAAAGAAGGAGGTGACCAGACATGTCAGATGCTGCTGAGAGGTAAAACAAGTTGAAGTCTGGCAGGTAAAACAAGTTGAAGTCTTCCAGATTGAAGTTTCTGAGCAGCAATGGATGCTGGACAGAGAATAAAGGAAAAAGAGCAAAGGGGTGATGGATATAGAGAAAGTAGAGGGATCAGTGGATCTCAGATCCCAGTGAGGTCCACAAATAGCCTTGGCAGAAACTGTGGAAAAAGCAGTCTTGGAGAAGGAGATTTGGCTGGAGTGGAGAGAATAAACTTGAGGATAGGAGATGAAGAGAAAGAGGAACATACTTAATATTGGAGGTGGAAACATTTCAGCTGATGATAGACTTCAGATGTGATCTTGGGACTGAAAGCATGAGGTAGAAAAAATGAGAAGTTCATTTGTAGTAAGGAGATCCAGGGATGAATCAGACAGAATGTTTATGTAGATATGGATATTGTCCAAGATCATAGCGATGCTGAGGCTAGAAAAGACAAAAGTCTGGGTGTCAAAGCCTTTTTATGAAAAATGCATGGATATTAGTAGATAGATGATACCAACAAGAAGGGAGACGGCACACAGTTAGACGACAGGAATATCAAAGTAGCAGACATGTTTTGCAAGGAGGTAAGGTTGCAACGGACAACACTCAGAGAAGGGGATCCTCCAACTTAAGGGTAACAGGGATGAGGAAGAATAAGCAGGCAGTATCATTCACAGAAGAAGAGGTGTCTTCAAAGAAGAATGAGATTTTCGTCAGGGTAAGAAGGTAGAGACAATATTCAGAAAAGAAGTTGAACAGGTAGTGAAGTTTGCAAACCATAAAGCAAAGTTATCAAGGCATGGTGGAAGAATTTGAGAAATAGGAAAGGGGAGAGGGAAGAGAGAGAATTGAGGGTTAGTGGAGGGCAGTTGGGCAATTAAGAATGAAACACTGTAGGAATTTTATTGTAGCAGAAAAGAGATGCCAGGGTATAATGTGCAGACCCAGGGAACTAGAAGGAGGGGCTAAGTAAACAAGGAAGAGCGAGTGTGGCAAGGTCAGCAACTTAAGAGACACCTACCTCCCTTTACGTTAGGACCTGGGAACAGCAGCCTGGCTATAATATGTAATGTAAAAGAGAAGCTGGAAAATCTGACAGGGGTTGCTTAAGAAGAGACTCCACTGTGGGAACTGTTTCCAGGAAAATGAGGCTCTTAATTACTGAAACACTAATATGTTTATAAAATGTCCAGTGTGCCAGAGGTTTGCACCAGGAAGCACAGAACCTTTACAATACAGAACCTATTCTGATGAAGGGGCTATTTTCTCTCTCAGGTTTTCACAACAATCCTTTTATGAGTAAATAAACTCAGCATTTCTTTTATTTTCAGTCTGGAATATATTAGAATATACACAACTTGCATGAATTCTTAACTTTCCCTCAATGTTTTAATATTTTCAATTGAATTTGGTATGAACAAACATGAAGCTTATTCCTTCTTTGATCTATTGCATTGCTCAGTTCTGAGAAACTGTGATTTAATACTCATGTCATAACTTGAAATAATAATATACTTTTCAAAGGTATGTAATTCAGAATCAGGAAAGTAGTTGGATGCTGAAATCTGCTTCTTTCCAAAAACTACATGATAATAGAGGCCTGACAATAAATTTTAAAAATTACAGTGATGGGCTTATATTTTTGTGGACTGTGGAGGAGCTAAAAATAAACAAGTGGGGTGGTTTAGTTCTAGTTGATACCAACATCCAAACTGATCTTTTGAGCTGTCTTTTGTAGTATTGCTAGGATCCCTTCCTTGGTCATTAGAAAAGGAATTGAGAAATATCTACAAATGACTTACCACACTCTATTTTAATTATCTGCATAAGCAATGTAAGAAATTGTGTTTGAATAATTTGGAGTCTGAGAGAATGTCATGTTATATTTGTATTCTCACACCACATCCATTATCTGGGATACTATAGATAGACGGTGGTTGAATGTACCAGTTATCCGTCAGCATACAATGCTGCATAACCACCAGAAAAACATAATGGCATACAACCAAAATCACATTCATTTAGTTCATGAAGCTGTGGAATTCATCTGACTTGAGCTGGTCTCAGATGATCTAGACTGGTTTCACCCAAACGTCTGGGGCTCCTCTGGCTGTTGTTTGCTTCAGCTTGGACAACTGGGGTGACCTAACTCTGCCCATCTCATGTTCAATCTGCAGCCAGCTAGTCTAGGCATAGCCTCATGGCATAGTGGAAGTTAAGGAATGAGCAAAAACAATTGTGCAAGCCTCTTTCAAGCCTCTGTGTCAATATCCTATTGGGCCAGAAGAAGCCACATTGATAGGCCAAAAGTCAGAGTAGGAGGGCCCTGCAAAATTCTATAGAAAGGACATGGATACAGAGATGGGTGAAGAATGAGGGCTATCCATACATCCAGTCCACCACATTAAAAATCTTAAGAAATCAATCATGAAGAACACTGTCCAAAGTTCAGGATTCATATCGTAAGGCTCAGCACTGTTCATTTTGTTAACTCAAGTGAATTATTTAATCATTCTAAAGCCTAATTTCCTTATTGGCCTTTCTCAAGCTTTAAAAGTGGTTGATTTTATAAAATCAAGCTTTTAATGAATTTCATGCAATATATGGTCTACAGGAGAAACTTTACAGGAAAGTTGTCCATTATACTATCCTTTAGTGAGCCAACATGGCTAGCCTGAATGGCCATAATTGATTAGCTAATATTTACGCTGAGAATCTTCACATATTCTGTAATCTTATTCAATTTGACAAACTTCTAGTCTGGACTTGGGTATGAATTAATTAAGTACTGGAAGTTTAATTTCCAATTGAAGTCTTCACTTTTTGTTCCCATCTGATGATTCTTTGAAGCATACAGTGTGTCAGTATAATGTCAAATGCTGTGACATCTCTTACATGTGAGATGAGTTATAGGGACCATTGATGCTGTGCCTTAATAATTCATTGTTATGATGAATTATTACTCTGAAATTGACTAAAGGAGCTTTGTCAAATTTGCATAATGCTGATTAAAAATGTGGTTTAATTTATAGTAGATGTTATGATTTGTTTTATATAAAGAGTACAGATGATACAGAAATGAAATCTGCTTTTGATTATATAATATGTAATTATGTAATATATAATGAAGTGCTGGATTAGTTAACTATAATAATAAAAACTAAGTAAAAATTTTCTAAATGAAAAATATTTTATAAGCTTCACAAGAAGAAAGTAATATACACAAATAGTCTTTGCAGATGGTTTTCTATGCCTAAAATGACTTCTTATTCTAGTTACTTAGATTGCTTCAAAAATTGTACACCTCAGTTTCCAAAATATATTGATGAACATATAATTTGTAGCTTGCTTTGACATGTCAAATGTTCTGTTTCAGACATACAGAAATGAATTGCCATGTGATAAATCTTTCATATCTCTATGAAGCATTTATTTTGGACTGATAATTTACTTGTGACCTGTGTCATTTCAGCGTCATCACGTAGACATAACCAAGAAACTTCACCCAAATCAAGCTGGCCTGGATTCAAAAGTACTGATTGGTAGTCAGAATGATTTGGTGGATGAAGAGAAAGAAAGGAGCAACCGTGGGGCCACAGCAATAGCAGGTACTGATGTGACTATAGGTCAGTTAAACCACGGTGGTTTAACTGTCCACATGACAAAGGTGCAATGGACAGATTCTTACTATTATTTTATTTGGAATATATGACTCAGCCCAAGTGATCACCCTGCTCTGCCAATCACATTGAAATGAAGATTTATGTGAAGCATGATATTGAACACTCACAATAATAATAGTAATGTTTATTGTTTTCCACTATTAGATTTTTCACCTCATTTATGGTTTTCATGGCAATGAAATATTTCAAGATTACTTGTATTGTTGTGATAATAATATTTTTGCTGGAACAATGAACAAGAAGAATTACTGTCTTGAAAAGAGGTTAAAATAATTGAGATGTTTTAAATTTAAAGAAGCGTCAGATAAGTCACTGAATGCAAGCTTGAATTATGATGGTTTAGTTTATAGAGATTGTGATCTGATATTTTTCATCTCTACTGAGTGCAAAACAAAAGCAAACGGACTTGTGGAGGAGTTGATAGCATTCAATTAAGCTACCCAGACTAACTTCCATATGGCAGAAATTTGGGATGAGCTAGCAAGGGAAATAAGAAGTTTGTTTCTTGCCAATATTTTAGACACACCAAACCCCCTCAATTTCTATTACACTTTATCTTTGAAACTTCACATTTAGTTCATACAAAAATTGAAACTGTAATTATTCTTAAGCATACGGTTTGCTCCTTTCTCCTCCTTATTTGGTTTTGTAGCTAGCATGCTTTCTTCTCCAAGGACATATAAAAGTCAAAATACTAGATAAAGTCTCTGAAGTGTTTCTGCTCCAAACCCTGTCTGCACAATCTGGGTTCTTTCATGTAGTTAGCTTACTGGCTTCTGACACTCCTATAAAAAAGTCCCATAGAGCTTTTCTTATTACCTTTTCATTGACTCTCTCCGAGAGAGAAAAATGAAATTCTGTAAAGGGCTTTGAAAATCACGCATATTGCAATTCCTCCAAATTTCTAATACTAATCAAGTATGACTATAAAAGAAACAACCACTGCAGTGAAAATTGCTGCAGCGCATTGAGTCTCAAGCCATTATTAATTCATTGGAACTTGTTTTTCTTTCTTTCTTTAAGATTGTGGATTCTAAAAAGTACCAGATAACACAATTCCTGAGATCAAAGTTTTTGTTTCAATCAGAGGGAAACATTATCTAATCTTCTCTTGTATGTGAATCTTTCTGGGATGGTACAGCAGTAGTCCCAGCTTTGTGCCTTGAGTGAGTAGTACAGCGTATGTTACAGACCAGAGCAGCACCTGCTTTGAACGTATTACTTGTAAGTGATGATTTTAGGGACAAAGATGACCTGGAATTAAAGCAGTGGTTCTAGGCAAGTGAGACCCCCTAACTTCATTCAAGAGAGTAAAATGGAATCTCCTTTCCTAGATCAATTTGATTTTAACATGCATTTATTTAGAAATTACCCAGTATGAACATCTTGGCAATATTTTTATTTGCTTTCCCATTTGTAAATGCAATAATTACAGTATTTCTTCCTTATGGATTATAATTGTGTGATAATTCTATATATAAAAATACAAAAGTAGAGCAAAAATATAATTTTTCAAACTTTATTTTCATCTTATATAATATAGTATATGTTCTTCATTTCCAAAAAAAAGACTCACTGGAGCCATACTTAACATTTACCATACTTCATATGGATAGCTCATGGAATATGTAGTAGCCTTCTTTGAGTTCAGGATGGGTAGAGCAGGCCTTTTCTGAGCTTTCTCCTCTTTCTAATGCTTAGACATAAGTCAGTCATTTCCTAAATTCTCTTTGACGAGAGTAACAGTTGCAGAGACTTTGTAGCATATCACTGACTTAAAAAAAAAAAAAGCCTAATTAAGATAGGGGTGCTGCTTTGCTTTTCTAATGTTGCTCTTTCAGGATACCCAGACCTAATTCTTTCAGTTACATGGGGTGGAACCTTTTCAAATATGTATCTAATAATTGTACTAAGGAAACTAGTTATCTTGGTATTCAATGTCAACAACTGAAATTTTGCTGTGAATGACTGAACACGAATTGTGTAATAAGACTCTATTCCAGCCAAGAGTACGGTAAAACCTCACTCAGGATCAGTGCTGTCAGCCACTGATGTCTTCACTAAGAAACTGATGAAAACATTTCACCAGATTCTAGATGACCTTCTTCTGTGGGTCCTTGATTCACTCTTGTTGCTTAGTGATGCCCATGCCTTATTTTAAGAACATTATTATTAATTCTACATGTTATTTTATCCATAAATTACTTAAAAAAAAGTTCTCTGAAAGTAGGATGATTAAGTGATAGAATGATAAAGTGCAGACCTTCAGAGGCTGAACTGAGATTTCTGGGTTTACATTTTGGCTCCCCCATTAGGTAGCTATATACCATGAGCAATTAGTTATTTAAGACTATTCCTTTATTTGTAAAATTGAGTTACTAGTAGTGCTATACCATGTGCTTTTTTTTTTTGAAGATTATATTAGATCAAATAGGTAAAAGTTAGTAGAGTACATAATAAGCTACAATGAAGTCAGGCTATAATAATTAACTACTGAATCTTTATGAATTGATTGCTAAGGAAAACTTTGTTTTCCTATGATACGCTCTGTAAATTGCTGGCTGTGGCGACTTGATGTTATGGATCTTTCAGTCTCTGAGTTTCTGTCTGCATTTTTTGCCTTTGAGAGCAGTATGCTCTTGGAAATGTTATAGCCTTTGTGAATGCTATGAACATGGAGGGGGTGAGAAACCCTTTTTGATGATGTCACTGATTCCTCAGAGTAAAAGAAACACTCCAATTGTGTAGAGACATGGATGCCCTGACGCTCTCTAATGGACTCTTTCCCCATCTTACTTCAGCAGCAATAGCTAAGGAGGAACACAGGGCTTCAATGTTTATTCAGCTTAAGGTCTATTTTTAGTAATAACATGTGTTAAGTGGAAATGTTTTCATTGAACTATTTGTTGCATCCAGTTCCCTGGGTTGATTTACATGTGGAAAGTTGATTGGAAAGTGCTCCCAGGAACAGCGCTTGAGGCAGAGTCCCAGAAGCAGGTCTGGGCAGAGGGAAAAATTGAATCATGATACAGTCACAACAAAGACCTCAACTGATCCCATAGGGAGATCTGGAGCTGGCATGGTTCTTCAGGGTTGTCCTGAATTAGGGGGTGGGGAACAGACCTTTATACCCCCTGCATCAAACAATCATTGGATGCAGCTGTCCCTGAGAAGGGTCTATGGTTATGGGCAATGTGGCTTTTTTTCAGCCAAGGGCGCAGCCATTTGGTACAAGAGGATGATTATTTAGTTCTGAGGAGGATCTGATTATTATGTGGGTCACTCATTAATTGCTGCCATTGCTTCCGGTTATCTTCCTGGCTAAACAGGGGGCCATTTTCCTTTTTCTTCCTTATGTCTCTCTAGAAACTCAAATCACTGCCAGGAAGGATGACCTTTTAAATATGCTTATTTGTTTTTGTCCTACATAAACATAAATGTTTTCTAATAAGCAAATGTTATACTCTCCTGATCCATATTTTCTAATGTAATTTTCTTCCTATTGTAGCTTTGACTATGTTCTTCGAATTTTCCCTACAACTTTACACTAAATCTGTGTCACTGCTTGTCCTTCATAAATTAGACTAGTCAAGTAGTAAGACAAACCCTGGGCTAGAAAATGAAACCCAAGGCACTCCAAGTTTGAGTCCCAGTTCTGCCACAACCTAGATGCATAGCATTTCAGAAGCCATTTCATTTCTCTGAGCTTGACTTTCTCCATCAAAATAGTGGGTATACCAGATAATCTGTATGCCCTGTCAGTTCTGAAAGCCTGTGATCCTCTGGCTTACTCTGAGTTAGAACATTGAAACTGTTGGACTCAAATGGTCTTATTTCTAAGTGAGACTCACATACAGGTGATTCACCCTGTCTAAGATCCTACTTAGTTTGGGAATTTAAACAGGTCAGAAAAAAACAAACTCCCTGGGAAAGCTCTCCTCTTAGGCCAAGGTGGAAGCTAGAGAATAAAGAATTATTCTGTAGCTTTAGTTTAATCTAAATGTTTAGTGTAAACCTCAGATCCTATTTGTATCGTGGAAAATAAAACCTAAGTAGTTTCCTATCAGGACCATTTTGAGGATTAGACAAGTCAGAGGTTCTATATTAAAGACCTTAATTGAAAGGCTGATTATATGGGATCAAGAGTTAGGTAGTTTAGATCATAAAGCACATTGTTGTTTCTTAATTTTAATGAAGAAACACCTCAATAATTCAATGTTATTCTAAGTAGTGTTCTAAGTGCAAAAATTACTTTTATTCCAAAGTCTAGAAAACCTGTTATTTAAAATATCGTATAATTTTTAACCAATGATTTAAAAATCTGTCCTTTCATCTTTATATTTAACATCAATGTAGATTTCTTATAATATAAACAGAATAACGATATTAGTAGAATTTATTTTACACTTCTAGATAAGGCTATTTTAGTTTGGAAATACTGACACCCTAAAGAAAAATGTTATAGGATTGCTCTTCATTTTATAGCAACCTATCTCCCTCTTCTCAGAAGATTTAAATGTTTAAGAATGTGCTGCAAGGAGAACCCACAGTCATTTCATTCTTTGAACAATTCTGAAATATCATTTCCTATTAGGAAGTTGTGTGAGCACTGACAACCTGGCCCCTCTTCTTCCCTAGAGATTAATTTATTTCCTGCAGTGTTTGCTCTTCATGGAAATCTTACTCGCAAGCCTTCACCAATGGGAGATCTCATCAGCAGAATGCTAATTATGAAGGCAAAACCGTGTACCATATTGAGAGGGAAAAACAGTTCTCTAGGCAAAGCAACCTTTTTCTTTTCTTTTTACTCTGCTCTCTGCTCCATCTATGGTTGAACAGAAATATTAACCCCTGGGAAACTATTCCATGAGGTGCTGGGGGATGGTAGAAAGTGCAAGTTTTGCAATGAGACAGACCCAAGACTAAGCTCTAATTCAAAGAATGTCACATTTGTTTGTGATTTTGTTTTCTTATCTTTAAAATTAGAATAAAAATACTTATCTTACAGGAAAGTTCTTGTGCTTTAAAATATCGCTTAATGTGTATGTTAAAAATACATATTCTTGGGATCTATTCTCTAGAGCAGAGCTGGGAAACCATCATGGCCTATGGGTAAAATATTAATAGGTCCCATTGCCTGATTTTTTATGGCTGGGGTGGCAGGAATGTTTGATTTTTCATTTTCAAATGTTAAGGAATATTTAAAAATAATATTTTTGACATGTAAAAATTTTATAAATTTCAAATTTTAATATCTATGAATAAAGTTTTATTGGAACACATCTACACTTATTTAAACATTGTCTATGACTGCTTTAGTGTTCTATCAGCACAGTCAAGTAATGGTAACAGATATTTACTGTCTAGCCCTTTAGTGAAAAAGTATGATTCAGGTATACCACGGGGATGTGTTTCAATGTATCTCAGGTGAGTCTGCTGTAGGGGTTCTATGGATCACACTTTGAAAAATAATGCACTAGAAGAATTGTGAACAACCTTTCATTTCTTCTCACTTATCACACCACTCTACCAGAAAGTCTGATTGGCTTTATCTTCAAAGAACATCGGAATATGCCCATTTTTTTTTCCATGGCTACTGCTACCAACCAAGTCTAAGCTATCTGCTGCTATCAACCACTGTCTCTCATCTGGATTCTTGCACTTGCTTTCTAACTAGTCTATTTGCTCGTACACATGGCCCATAGTGTCCATTCCCAACACAACAGCCAGAGTAAGTGTATAATAATCTTAAGCCAGATTGTGTAACTCCTCTCCTCAATATCCTCCAGTGGCCTCTCTACTTCTCCTTTCTCACTACTCTGGATATGTTGGCCTCATAGCTGTTTCTCAAAAACCCTAGGAGAGCTCCATCCTCAAGGCTGGCACAGACTATTTTATCTAAATGGCATAATCTTTCCCCAGAGATCCATGTGGCTTTCAGATTCACTTCCTTTAGGTCTTTATTCAATGGTTACCTTCTTAGTTATCACCTTATTTTAAAACTATAACCCTCCTGTCTGGCACTATCTGCCTCCTTTGTGCTCTCTAACATATTTTGCAGTGTCCTTTTTATTTTGATTATTGGTCACCTACTCCACATAAGGTCACTATGAAGGCAGGGATTTTTTATCAGTTTGCTCTATCCTTAGGTTATAGGAAAGTGTCTGGCTCATAAGAGGTTCACAGTAAGTATTTCTTGAATACAAAAATGAACCCCAGACTCCTATCTTGTGCTTGACAGATTATGTGTGGATTCTATCAAACATTTTCTGTATGCAAAAACAGTTGCTGGAGTACACATAGAAGACTCATCTCTGAAACATGATACAATACTCACTTAATCACTTCAAATGAGAGGGGAAATAAAGCAGCTATTAACTTGTATTATTTGTTTGTTCAGTCTCAGCCAACAATTTGATGACAAAAGATACAAAGGAAAGGGAAGTTAATGGTGGGTAAAAATATGAAAACATGAATGAAAATCCTGTTGAAACTGTTCAGAAGAGACTCCAAGAAACCACAATCAAGTTGCATCCTAAAAGAGGTAGATGGTTCATGGCAGGTTTGAGTGTTCACCATCACATTGAGCAATTTCAGGGGACTGGCACTCAAAGTTTCCCAAAAGTGACAAGGGAACAGCTTTCCTTCAAATTAACACTTTAGGAAACATCAGGTTTATAAGAGAATGTAAATTACTTTTAGACATACTTCAGCTTGATTCCTCTAAAATATAACGAAATTGAAATTTTCTTTCACTTTAACCTTCTTATTCTAATAATTACCCATGTAATTTTATGCTTATAACTTCATTTTGTAAGTTATTATTAAAAAGATGTAATTCTGACCATTGAAGGACACTTATTTAGCCTGTATTTTTGAGAAAGAAAAGCAAAAAGCAAAATGAAACTCCATTCTATGTCTACTCTTCTATGAATGAAATAATTTACTTGATCTCCAAGGAAACTTGTCTACATGATTCCAAATACCTCAGTTAGTCTGATCAACTGAGTAATTGGTTCAGTGAATATCCATTTCAACATGAGAATCATCACCTCTTTATTGAACTTGTGACATTTCCAAAAGGAGTAGGTGAATGCCAAAAAGATAAAGACTTTAAATCAATTTGGATTTTAGAACCTAAATTATTGTCAGAAAAACATTTCTTGCACATTTTGAGATTTCCTGAAAGGTAGTATGCAAGAAACACAGTTTCTATTCAATGTGGAATCTCCTGCTCTGTCAACTAGAGCTTGCCACCAGAGCATAGATGTAATTTAGAGGACCACTGCACTGGGTGAAGATTGGGTTAGATCAGGCAGGGTGAGCTGACGTATAAGGTCTCTTCTAAAACTAAGATTGTTTAAATCCCAGTTTTTTATTTGGAAATAATCTAATTATTTTAATTACCTCAACTCCCATTTTTCTGCTTAACTGTGTACTATCTTAAATCAGCTTATTGACAAGGGAGAGTTGGACAAATAACTGTCAAGATGACAGATTGAACTTTCAAACTGCATGCTTATAATAGTTTTATGTGACTCTGAGATGGCAATGGCAAGTGATATTTCTGTAGCACTTTACATTTTACAAAGTAATTGCAAGCTCATTATTTCATTTGGTATTTCCTCAACTCTCTATGATTCAGTTATTATAATGAAAACTTATCCACTGATAAGGAAATGGAATTCAGAGATTCCTCAAAATACACAGCCAGTTAAGTTGTAGACTCAGGAATCAGACTTAGGTCTTCAGTTTCCAATTCTCTGTACTACAATTCATTTATTTCATTTTCCTTCATCCCATCCCCCTGCTCCCTAAGAAAAGCAGCACTGTAAGGAAGAAATATTGCTGTTATTCCTTTTTATAGATAAAGTCACAAAGATAGTAAATGATAGAAGTGGGAATTAAATCTGGGCATACTGCCTAAAAATCTTGTGTTCTTATATCTAAAATGTATATTCTACAGTATATGGTTTTATTACTGTTTGTCATATAAGAAAGATCTAAAAAGCTAAAGGCAGCCATTGAGGACAGTGGATCATGAGGAGAGGGAAGGAAATCTAGGAGAGTATGCAATCCAGGTTCTCTTCACCATCAACCCACTGACCACTCCAGCTCCCAGTCCCAGTTAACACTGATGGAAATGTTGACAGAGGAAAGTAAATTCAGATGATTAGGGAAATTACCAAGGTATGTGGAGAAATCGCTCTTCTTTCTCCTTTGACATTACCTTTCTTCCTTCTCAAGTAGTCTGTGACCTCCTCAGGAGCCACAGAACTGCATATTTTGTTTCTGTGTTTCACACACATCATGAAAATCGCTGAGATAGTGAGATAATTTTAGTCTTTTTACATTTATTGACATATTCTATCTTTGCAACTATTCCATTCAATAGGCATTATTCTCCTCCTTCTCCTTTAAAAAAAAATGAGAAAATGAGGCATATAAAGGTTAGTAACCTAAAGTAAATTACTTTAGGTTATACAGCTAGTGTTACAGAAAAATAATTCAAAGAAGAAAAGAAGAGAGGAAGCAGGAAGAAAAAAAAGAAGAAAGTGAGGGAAAGTGGGAGAGGAGAAGAAGGGAAGGAAAACAAATGGAAGGAAGGAGGAAGGAAGGAAGGGAGGGAGGGAGGGAGGAAGGAAAGAAGGAAGGGAGGGAGGGAGGGAAGGAGGGAGGGAGGCAGGCAGTTATAGGCTATTGAGTGCTCAGAAGGAAGACCAACAGAGACTTTCTCTCCAGGTCCTGGCAGTTAGCACTTAACTAACCTCTAATACAATAGAAGCAGGGGAGGGTCAGAGAGATTTCTGGTTTTCTGTTCCTCTTGACCACTTGTAGTGCTTACTTTTAGGGCTTCTTTTAATTACCCATCCATCGCGCTCCATAAAGCCATAGTAGAAAGGAATAAAGTGTCTTGCCTGAAGATAGGCACAATTCCTATTCGTAGCGTAGCTTGCTTTATTTGAGAGTCTGACATGATGTTGTCTCAATGCCAGGTATGTGTACATGTTAACTAGGAGCTTTAGATAGTACAGCTTATGCTGGAGGCCTGTTGATTTTTCTTCAGTTTAACAATTATTAGGTACCTTTTTCCTCCTCTGTAGTTCTTAGAACTCCAATAGGCTTGCATTCTATTCAGGAGGCATAGTGCCACAGCCAAAGCCTGTTGAGTCTGGAAACAGACATTTTTAGACACAATCAGCTTCATCTTCTTACTAGCTATGTGATTGCTGGGCAGGTCTCAACTTCACTGAGGCCTCAGTTTTCTACCTTACATTACCCATATGATAGAGTTGTTATAAGGATGAACTGAAACGCAAAGAAAAGCATTTTGTCCACGGAAAAACACTTTATACATGTAAGCTATTATCTCCTACCTCATACAAGTATCTACCTTGTTTCTGAAGAGTGAAAAGCTTACTTTCTTCTGTTTCTTTTTTTTTTTTCTTTATTTTGCTGGCTCTTTCTGCTTTGCTTCCAACCGTTTCTCAAAAACCATATGCATGTGAGTGTCGACAGTATTTGAAAGCAGGCAGTTTCCTTTCTGGTTATTTTCAATACTTATTTCTGATAAACCCTTCTTTTTTTATTTATAGAAACATTCAAAAATGAAAAACATCAAAAATAACAAGATGTGACAGAAGCCACTTAGGCAGCAAACATAAATGTTGCAGTGAAAAAAGAAGCTAGCCTTCTAGCTGAAAAACGAGTATTCCCCAATGGACTCCAGAAGAAACTTGATTCATCGCTGCAAAGGAAAGAACAACCTTAAAACTTTTAACAGATAAAACTTACAGAAACCTATGATATAGAATTCATATAGTCTATTCTGTTGTGTCTAAATCTGTAGGCATTGTGTTGTTGTTCTTTAGGACGTATTTATTTAACTTGCACATTTTTTCAGATTCTTATTTCTACTACCAACAACTAAGTAATTGGGAAATAATTCTGTATTTCAGTTTCTGAGTAAAACCAGTCTGAAATAGGATAAAAGCCACCAAATATTTTCTTTTTTTTCCAGAATTTGTTTTGCCATTTTTTAGTGCTATCATCATTCCTAACAAGACTAACTTACAGAAAAATAATTATATCTGACTGATTTAAAATGTTCAGGTTTCTTATCCAAATCCCTTGGAACTATGGAAAGGAGTTTGATTTCACATTCACAGTGTATTTACAAAATACGCTGTGTCATAAATATGTTTGAATTCCAACAGCCAAAGCCATTGAGAGTCATAGGAGTTTTCCATAACCTTCTCTTCTATGACCCAACAACAAGCTCATGACTGAAATTTCACCAGATTTCTGAGACGATGTCTTAATATTCTATGTGCTATGTACCAGATAATTCTTTAGATGAATGTTTCTTAGGATTGTAGGAAAATTATCTAGTTAATCATAATATTTGATGGAAAGAAAAAGACAATAAAATTGTAATATAATAAATTTGGCTGACAAGAAACCAAAGTGATTCTTAATTAGTATACATCAGAATGATGCTCTTATAGTTGTACCATCTATAAAAATTACTTTAAGGGCTCTCACATTTTAATAATTTATCTTATTATGTATTAAGTATACAGGAACAATATTATTTTTCCTTTAACAAAATGAAGAGACAGGCTATCTGGTTAATGTTACATAGGAATTTAATAGTAATGCTTGAACTTCATCCATAGATCATACTCTGTACAAAATTTGTTAGCTAACATCCTATCTCATAATTATTTTATGTTTTGTGGAGAAATTTGTTGATTTTGTACCAAAGTGTTTCTGAAGACAATAAATTGTGAGTCAACTTTAGAACAAAAAAAATTAGAGTTTTTTCAATGTTTATATTCTGATTAAGCTTACTTTACCTTACATTTTTTCTAAGTAACAATGAATCCTGATTTCTAGTGTCCTAAAAATTGCTTAGTGATTTGATTGTGGTAATATCATTTCTTATCTACAATGTCTAAAGTTTTATGGGACAGTTTTTCTTTTATTTATTTTGCCTGTTTGTGCAGATAAGAACAGAAACTTTTCTAAGACCCACATTTGGTTATTGAAGGCCACAGCGAATCTTAACCTAACAGCCTTGACAAACTGCACCATAGGTGTTTTTAGACTCATATAATTTGTTATTTTTCAAACAATAGTGAATAATTAATATTTTTGTTTGGAATTTGAGAACAATTAAATTTGTACTTTTAGTAACTACCATTCTTTGATTAGAAAATTAAGAGAATGCATATCTTACTTTGGTTGTAAATTATCAAGGGCTTTCTAATAGAAATCATATATAACATTTCTAAATATAAGTCCTTTCACATACTGTGTTTCCAGTTGTCTTGATATTGAAAAGTGTAATAAACTTCATGCTCACCTATTGGAGATTTGGGAAGGTTGAAAATAAACTTCCTAATTTTTATTTGTATGTGTTCTCTTCTATGTTTAACTCTAGAATAACTATCTTCCTGTAACGATTAAGTTAAAATATTCTTTAACTAGAATTGAAATAAATTGTTCACTAAGGAGGGGGCTGCTTGTGCTAAAAAAGCCATGAGGAGGGAGATTGTCCTCCCTGCCCTCTCCATCCCCTATGGACTTACAGTGCTGAGCTCAGTCATAATGACCAAATTTCACAGCATGGCCAAGCTGCATAGATAGGTGCCAAAACTACCAATTATTAATATTGGCCTCTTCCTAATTGAATCAGTCAAGCAGTTTTGGAAAAGGCTGTCAGAAAGGAGTGAGAAATGGAAAGAGGAAAATGTGATTGTTGAGATGGGCTAGCTCAACTCTTACATCCAGGATTTTAATAGAAAAACTCTTTAAGATTAGAGTCAACATATAATGAGACTTTTAGGTGTTTAACCAAAGGTTCTTGGTTCAAGTTGCCTCTAAAAGGAAGATGATAACATGTAAAACGCTGGGGAGAGTCAGAATTAGGATCTAATTATAACCCCGGTAGGCTGGACTACTAAAAATGAAATCCAATAGAATAAAAATATTCTTTTGATTTTACCATGAAAATATTTCCACAACTATAACACTTCTGACTGCTTCTACTTCTACTGCTGTGGTCCAAACTTCAGTCATCTCTGTTGGATTATTGCAAAAACCCTGTAACAATTCTTCCTGTTCCTGCCCTTGCTACCTATCAATCTATTCTGATTGTGAGAACCAGAATGATCTCATTAAAATATGTGCTATTATTACACACCACAGTCATGTCCTACCTCATTCAGAGTAAAAGCCAAAATTCCTAAAATGATCTAGAAAGGTGTGCACAATACATTCCCATTCTCTCTCTGTACTCTTCCTATTCGTTTTGCTCAAGTCATGCTGACCTTCCCATTTGATATGGTTTGGATGTGTCCCCATCTAAATCTCGTCTTGAATTGTAGTTCCCATAATCCCCATGTGTCATGGGAGGGACCTGGTGGGAGGTAATTGAGTCATGGGGACAGTTTCCCCCATGCTGTTCCCCTGATAGTGAGTGAGTTCTCATGAGATCTGATGGCTTTTATAAAGGCTTTTTCCACTTTTGCTTGGCACTTCTTGCTGCCACCATGTGAAGAAGGACGTGTTTGCTTCCCCTTCTGCCATGATTATAAATTTCCTGAGGCCTCCCCAGCCATGCTGAACTGTGAGTCAATTAAACCTATTTCCTTTATAAATTACCCAGTCTTGGGTATACCTTTATTAGCAGTGTAAGAATGGACTAATACACCATTATTCATCAACCATGCCAGGGCTATTCCTACCCTGAGGCCTTTGCATTTGCTGTTCTCCCTGCCTGGAACACTTTTTGCTCTCCTCTCCACACAGGTCACTCCCTTACTTCCTTTAGGCTTTATCCACATATTACCTTCTCAATGTGCCTTGCTCTGGCCACCCTATCTCAAACTGTAACCTCAACTCTTATTGGTCTTTCTATCTCCTTCCCTGCCTTAATTTTCTCCATAATAGTTTATTCTATCTAACAAGCTATATCTTTTACATGTCTTGTTTCTTTTCTGTCTCCTTTACACTAGACTGTAAACCCCCTGAAGGCAGGATTTCTTATTGGTTTCTGCACTACACCCAGACACTTAGAATAGTGTCTGGCATATATCTGGCACTCAATATGTGTTTGCTGAATGAACTGATTAAAGTTAGGAATATGAGAACTCAAGCCAGACTGCCCAGGTCTGAATACTGACTCCCTGTTTACTGGGTTGCCTTGGATAAGTTTGTGAGCCTCCTTCTGCTTCAAATTCCTACATATATGTAAAATAGGGACTAAAATAGACTCTACATTGTAGAGTTGTTGTGATAATTTGATGAATGTATAGATGTAAAGTGCTTGGAGCTTTGTCTGAGAAAAAGTAAGTCCTCAATGCATTTATGTGTTTTTATTTTATAATATATATATGTTCTAAATTATATATAAAATATTACATCAAGGTTTTTTAGTTTTGGAGTCTTGCATCTTTTCTTCTTTGAGTTTTCTTTCTTTCCCACTTCCACTCTTATGTGCCATGACAAATACTCATCTAGTCCTTGTTATCTTAGCTCAGGTTCCCTAGAAGCACAGGTTAAGGGGGAAGATACTCGTTCAGTGGTTTATTGGAGTGTTCTTAGGAGAAATCTGTATGGAAGTGGAAGAAGTCAGCAGGATAGGAGAAGGATCTAGATAAATACATGGTTTCATAAGAACTCCAACCTAATCTTTCCAGCCTGATCCTAAGGGTACCCTGGAGCATGGATTATACTACTGTGTTGATCCCTCAGCTGAACCTTCAAAAATTTGTTCCAAATCCAAGAGGCCAGCAGGTTCCAAATTGTGTACCCTATGATACAACAAATGAGTCCCATAGGTATATCCCACTGTTGCATCTCCCTTGTGACAAATTGTGTCACCTGGTCTGAGATGATATTACACAGGATATCATGTTGGGAGAACAGAAATTCTGTGACCCCTCTGTGGCGGTGCTGGCTGAGGCACTGTGGAAAGGAAAAGTAAACTAATACCTGGAGTATATTTCAATTTCAGTTATGAGAAAGCATAGATTCTTCTTGGATGAAAGGGATTCAGTGTAATAAAATTCTTACCAACTGACTAGGTTGTTTCTTCAATGGATGGTAACTTATCAGGGAGAGGGCCAAACACCATTGGTCTTTGTGACAGGCAAATTGAAGCTTCAACAGTAACAGTAACTAGATCAGCCTTTGTGAGAAATGGTTCATGCTGTTGGCCCATGACTTACAGTAATATCTGCCATCATGGTTACTCCACTCATGAGTCCATTGTGCAAGTACTGGGGTGAATAAGGACAGAGACTAGTTGATATCTACTGATTAAGTCAACATGTCTAATTGATTTTATAGTACAGATGTTCTGTGATGAACACCAATTTGCTATATAAAATTTTCATACCTTTTCCCCATTTTCATAGGTGTAGTCATCCTCTTCTGCAGGTATTTTTATCCATGATATTCAACTCTATCTGAATCCAAGTATTTGACTAACCAGCTAAGTCATTTGCTATTAAAGCCACTTGCCAAGGAGTTTATGTTTATCTTGATTGCAGGCCATTTTTCCCTTTACACACAAAGTGGACAACCAGATGCATGCAACTCTGTCCACTGGGAGGATTTCACTTCACCATTGTCTTTCAGACCCACTCCTAAGTGAGGCTCTAGTGCAACAGTAATCCATTTGGGCCTCTGCTAATATACTAAGTTGACCCATACATGAATGGATCCACTTCATTTTATTAGTTGTTTACAGAGAACCTCACCATGAGCTCTGGAAGTGTAAGCCGAATAAAAAGTGCAGGTACAACAATGTGGGTGAGTGCCTTGTGTGCTTCATCAGTCACTCATTGGCACAGCTCATTTGTATCATCTGGACCTGCTCCACCCCAGTCTTGTATGTGCTGCTTCTATCTTGCAAAGTGCTGCTGCTGGGCTTACTTGATCTTATGAATTCCTGTGTCTGATAGCAACTAGCTCAAGAGGGCAGTTTCAGTCATATGATTATACAATGTTCTATTGTCATATATCAGTCTCCTACTTGGTAAAGTAGCATGTTGGCAGCAGCTTTTCAAATATTGTGTAGTTCTGTGATAAAATGTCATGGCCATGTTCCAAGGATTGCACAGTAATTCTCCTATTGGAGCTTGCCAGAGGTTTCATACACTATCTTTATCTATTAGACGCCCATCAGCTATATATCTAGATACCCATAGTACCACAGATCTTTCAAGTAATATGGCAGAGGTGCAAGTTTGCTGTAACCACAGACTTGACCTCCCATATCAGCCCGCCTTCCTCCTGGCCCCATACAAAACTGTCAGTCATTTGCGTTACCTCATACATGATTCAGAGCAGTATATTCAAGTGTGGCATATGCTGCCTATCCAACCCCAAAAGCCTTACTAAATGCTGTCTTAGTGGAAAGAGGTGTAAAGGACATGCTATGGTCTAAATGTCGGTGTCTTCCAAAATTCATATGTTGGAAACCAATACTCAATGTGATAATATTAAAAGACGGGCCTTTTAAGAAGTAATTAAGTCATGATGGCTCTATTCTCAGGGACAGGATTGGTTCTCTTACAAAAGAGGTTGAAGGGAGTGTCCTTGCTCCCTCCTGCCATGTAAGGATGCAGCAAGAGGTGCCATCTTTGAAACAAAGCAAGCCCTGACCAGACCTCAAATCTTCTGGTACCTTGATCTTAGACTTCTTAGCCTCCATAATGGTGAGCAATAAATTTCTGTTCTTTATAAATTACCCAGTCTGAGGTATTTTGTCACAGCAGCCCAGAACAAATATAGTGCAATAACCTGTTCTTTGTCTGAGGAGATATCCTAGCTTCCTTAGCTCACCAGAATCTTAAAATTTTTATCCATATGACCACATCTTGTATTTTTGCAAGGTTTAGTTTATTATTTATTCTGTTATTAATGTGCCAAAGTGTTAATAAAGAATGAGAGCTAGATACATACCCTTTTAGGTGACTAGCAAGGTACTTAAGCTATGGGGCCCTAGTCCCTGTAGTTTGTGTTTGCTGATGTGACCCTCATTCAACATATTCTTGTCATTTCTTGAGAACAGTGCAATGATTGGGTACACAGGAAGCTGCAGCTTGGTGTCTGAGCCCTCCAGGATTTTCTTGCCCCACATAGTACTTGCTATCTGCTTCATACCCTTATTAAAGCTAAGTAAACTTAGTGTTTGGTTTACTTATTGTTTCTTGTATCTTTGATTGACAATGTGAAATTAAAACTCATTCTAGCCGGGCGCGGTGTCTCACGCCTGTAATCCCAGCACTTTGGGAGGCCAAGGCGGGCGGATCACGAGGTCAGGAGATCGAGACCATCCCGGCTAAAACGGTGAAACCCCGTCTCTACTAAAAATACAAAAAATTAGCCGGGCGTAGTGGCGGGCGCCTGTAGTCCCAGCTACTCGAGAGGCTGAGGCAGGAGAATGGCGTGAACCCGGGAGGCGGAGCTTGCAGTGAGCCGAGATCCCGCCACTGCACTCCAGCCTGGGCGACAGAGCGAGACTCCGTCTCAAAAAAAAAAAAAAAAAAAAAAAAAAAAAACTCATTCTAAAGGTCTTGTTTTTGCAACGTTACAAAATAAACATAAAGTGCTAGAAATGATAAATATGGTTTGGCTGTGTCCCTACCCAAATCTCATCTTGAATTCCCACGTGTTGTGTGTGTTGAATCATGGGGGCAGGTCTTTCCCATGCTGTTCTCGTGAGAGTGAATACGTCTCACAAGATCTGATGGTTTTAAAAAGTAGAGTTTCCCTGCACAAGCTCTCTTCTCTTGTCTGCCACTATGTGAGATGTGCCTTTCACCTTCTGCCATGATTGTGAAGCCTCCACAGCCACATGGAACTGTAAATCCAATAAACCACTTTCTTTTGTAACTTGCCCAGTCTCGGGTATGTCTTTATCAGCAGAGTGAAAATGGACTAATACAATGATTAATATGATAGCTAAAAAAAAAAAAAACAGGTTAGACACAATAGAAGAGAAAGTTGCTGAGATGGTAGACCTTAATTAATTACCCAGAATGCAGCAAGAAAAGACAGGACAGTGGAAAAGAGGTGTTAAAAAACACTGAGAAGAGTTTAAGAAGGCAGAATATTTACTTAATTAGAGTAAGAGCACGAGAAATTCAGAGAGTGATGCAAGGCAGAAGTGAAGTAATATTCAAAGAGATGATGTCTGAGACCTTTCCAGGAATAACAAATAATACAAAATTTCAGATTTAGGAAATACAGCAGCATATTTCAAGAAGAATAAAGAAGTAATTTCCTTACAACTCATGGTGAAATTTCAGAAGGAGGATATAAAATAGGACTTGGACATCAATTGGACAAACAGTTGACTTTTGTAAGCCTAATACAACAGCTGGAAGATGGGGTGACAAGGGAAAAAGCTCTCCAGTGAGAACTGTTAATCCAGTTAAAAGATTTTCAAAAATAAGAATAAAAAACTTCTTATAGATGAACAAAAACAGAGGGGCTTACAGTCAATTGAATTCTTGGTAAAAGGATATCTAAAGGGTATACTCTAAGAAAGAAAATAAGTCCAGAAAAAAAAATCCGAGAATCAAGAATGAGTAGGATATTAAAAAATAATTACAGACTGGAAGATATTTACAATATATAAGTCCAATAAAAAATGGTATCCAGAAGGTATAAAAGCCTGCTTCAAATCATTAAGTAAAATTCAGACAAGCTAATTTTAAGGAAGGGTAAAGAACTTAAGCAGGCACTTCATAAAAGAGGATATTCGAAAGGATAATGAACATAAAAATCTGCTCAAAATCACAGCAATCTTTAGGCAAATGCAAATTAAAACTACAACAAGATATATCATTATAAACCTACCAGATGGCTAAAAGTTTTTTTCAAAAAATGAACGTTTTGAAGAAACTATGGAGCAGCCAGAACTCTCACATATTACTGGTGGGAGTTCAAATTGATAAATCTATTTGGAAAACTGTTTGGCACTGTCTCCTAAAGCTAAACATACACCTACCCTATGACCCAGAATGTCTATTTGTGTAAATCCAACAAAACCAAATATAAACTAATTTAGCTACCAATAAGACATGTACAATGATGTTCCTAATAACTTTATTCAAAGTAGTTTCAAACTGGAAGCAACCCATGCCCAGGAGTAGTAGAATAGGCAAACACATTGTAGTGTAACCACGCGATGGAAACTGATGTAGCAATGAAAAAGGATAAACTACACAAAAATGCAACAGCTTGGATGTTTTTTGAAAACCAGAATCATAAAAATTAGATACAGAATAGTATTTACTGTATGAATCATCAAAATTAGACACAAAATAGTATTTACTATATGATTCTGTTTATATAAATATTAAGAAAAGGCAACAGTGCTTTATGGTAATAGAAAGAAGTATGATGTTTGCATTTGATTTGGTTATGACTGGCTGGGGAGGCACAAAAGTGGTCTCTGGGGTGATGAGAATGTTCCATATATTAATCTGTGTTATGGTTATATCAAAATATACATAGGTTTTGATTAATGAAGGTTTGCACTATAGAATTACGCACTTCACTGCCTTTGTGTAATAAAGCAACAGAACGGTAAGCACAAGTTTGAAAATAGTACTTATCCTGGGGTACCCTGGGGTAAAGTTTGAGGAGAGATTGGGGATGAGAGCCTAACGGACTTAAAGTGTATTGACAATGTTATATTTCTGATTGTATACGTAGTACATGTTTTACACATATAAATATTTTATATATACAAAAATAAGTGGAGGAAAAACGACATAAGGGAAACATTGCTATTTGATCTGGCCAAAAAAGAATGCAGACATTCAGCAAACCTCCCATAAAATACATATTAGAATCCCCTGTGTGCAGTTTATTTCATCAGATATAATGTTGTTAGGCACATACTTTAGCTCTGCTATCTTGCTAGAATGCATTTTTTCCATTGGGATGATCTCATAAATATTTTCTTATATTTATCTCACATGCTAATAAAAGATAAGAAGTACATTTTCTTCAGCATGTTCCTTAAAATGTCCCAAATCATTTTGTTAAAAATAAATGTTTTCTACATTGTATATCAAGTTCTTGTCTTTTGCAGTATTCAAAGTAAAATCTGAACTTTTTAGTGCATGTTATCAAAGTACTTGAGGTACTTAATGCATATGATATTTATACTTTTTTAGACATAACCCTGACGTTTAATTTTTTTTTTGTTTTTGTGCATTCTGAGGAAATCTCAAGCTGGGCTGAATATTTCCAATTCATGGAAAGATACATGAAGAGTTCTTATTTCTAAGTAAGAGATTAGTAGTGAAATACTAGCAAAAATATTTATTTATAGTGCTCATAGGCTAATTAGACTAAATAGCACACTGTTAGAGGAAGACTACTCTAATGTTTTCCTTCTCCCATTACATGAAAATAATTAACTTTGTCTAAATAATTCTCATTTAGAATAGGTTTTCATTTTTATTATGATTGAAACTTGAATCATAAATATGTATATAAATATTAAATACAAGTTCTTCATCAAAAATGTGATTCGCAAATATTTTTACTTGATCGGTGGTTTATCTTTTCATTTTCTTAAAATAGTCTGTTAAAACACAGTTCTTAATTTTAATGGAGTTTGATTTATAATTTTATTTTATGGATCATGTTTGTGTGTCATATTTAAAAAAATATTTGCCCAACACAAGTCATGAAGAGTTTCTATTGCATTTTCTTCTAAAATTTTTAGATTTTACATTTAGGTATATGATCTGTTTGAGTTAATATTTATGTATGGTATGAGGAGGCATGGTTGTAAAGATGCTTTTTTTATTCTTCCTGCCTTTATTTTTGCTTTCCTTTTTTCCCCAAATAGATATTTAAGCTTTCCATCACTATTCGTTAAACAGACTTCTTTTTTCTATTGAATGGCTTTTGCAAGTTGATTGAAATCCAATTAATCATGTACAGTTCGGTTTATTTCTGATATCTCTGTTCTATCAATCTCTTTTCTAGACATGTGGACTAGTTCTTGTAATATGGTGGCACTTTTTAGACTTAAGAAGAGTGAAGAGAGTGGGGAATGTTTAGTGGAAGAACGTATCCTGTGAAATTCAGGAGCCACATCATCTAGTATGTACAATGTACTTTTCACCCTAGCTTTTAATTATTTACTTTTGTCAAAAACCTTCAATGAAGTGTATTGAAATATTACATCTGAGATGTTACTTAATTAAATAATGTATGGAAGAAGAGCGGCCTACACTTAGTGAGAAGTTATACAAACATAGAAACCACACACAGCCAAAAAAGATGGTTATGACACTGCAAAATGTGACAGTAGAAGATCTGAAGTAGTAGACAGATTTACTGTGATGAGAAATAAATTAGATAAATTTGTGGATCACATAGGCACTTTTAAGACATCCCCTCCTCCCAAAGACTTGGGGAGGGAGACCTTGAAAGAGACTAGATTTCCTATTGATCCTGTGAGAAGAGAAGTCTAACTCTTTTTTATTGGATTATAATAAGGAAGGAATATCCTAGAAATATGAAGAGAGTGGAGATACTAGGTTTGTACCAAACTTTGGCCTTTTTAAAAAAAATGTATCAGCTGCAAAACTTAAGGCTGTGGAATTTCTAGACTCTAGAATTATCTCCTTAAATTTTAATTAATTCTCCAGATAAAAGTGAAAAATTAACAACAGTATAGCAACTAGTCAAAATACTTTTAAATTATCTGGTGTGATTTTTTTTAAGCCATACAATTTAGGAACTCACAAAATGAAGAAATACATTTCCAAATTAATAACTTAGTAGAGAAATTTCTTTCTATTTTCTGGGCCTGGGTGGGGACTTCTACCCATTAGGAATTTTGTTGTATCTTTTCAGTCAATATGTAGTATATAGCTTCTAGGAAATATGTCAAACCACACCCACAACAGGAGAATAGGTCCTGTATGATTGTTTCATCTGAGTGAATATGCTGTTGCTTGTTCATAGTCAATTGAATTAAGGATAAACATTATAACAGGAGGAGAAAACTCACAGGTTTTTTCAGCCAGAAAGAGTAACCTTCCTTATAGACTTGTGTAATATACTACAATTTTAATATGGCCTCTGAAACAATGGATATTAACGAAAGAGGGCATATTCTCCTATTGTCCTTACATTCTTCCTAAAAGACAGCAAACCTGGCCTTGACCTCACAGCTGTATGGACCAACATTCTTATCTTGTCCATAATGTAGTTCAAAGATTATATGCACTAATGTTATAAAATTCTGGTGAGTCAGGTGGTGTACTCTATTTTCCATATCAAGATTAAAAGTTTTAAAAACCTAAACATTGTTAAAAAATCATCTGAACATTATTTTAAAAGGTTTTGCCTATTCACAATAGGTTGTCAAAGACTATCATTAAAAATTTCATAAGATCAAGTTATCAATAACAACCATAAATGATTCAATTAAGTTGAATGGCTATTTTTAAATTTTCTCAGAAATTTATAATTATCTCACAAAATCTATGTAATTACCAATTATGAAAGCAAAATCATTAATTGGCGAGTTGTATAGAGCAACATTAATTTAAATTGTAAAAGGTCAGATAATAGCATTCTACCAAACATACATAAGCCCAGGATACTATACATGGAGGAGTAACTTGATTTTGACAAAATTAGTTTTAAATCTACTGTTTCTTGATAACTTATAAAATAAACAAATAAAATATATAGTAGAATGGATATTGATAATTTTTAAGGAGAAACATTAATACAGGAAAGGGGCTCTAGAAGTGGCAGTGCTATTCAGATATGCAGTAAAAGCCTTAAAGAAAATGAACATTTCATTAAAATCCTGAGGAAGTGATCACAGTAGTCATATGAACATCTGGAGAGAGAATACCAAGGCATTGAGATTAACAATTGCAAAAGACTTGAAGTCAAAACATACATGACATGTTCAGTGGGACCAAGGGGTTCTTGAATTGGAGAATAGCTAGGGAAAAAAGTAAGAAAAGTAGAGAAAACTAGAAAATAGGGAGCTTTGGAGGTAACATTAAGGAATTTAGTTTTTCATTGAATGAGATGGGAGTCACTGGAGGGTTTTGAGAAACTGATGGTTTCTTATTTTCCTAGAACTGTTATGCCTATTGCTTGAGGGTACAATATACGTGAGGAAGAGCAGAAGAAGCAATATCAGTGAGGGGGCTAATGCAACAATCCTTCAGAGATGACAGTTGCCGGAATCCAGGTGGTAAGAATGAGAATCAAATTTTGTACGTATTTTGGAAAGGTAGAACTATTAGAATTTGTGGAAGGCATGGATATAGTTGTGGGAAATAGAGAGGAGTCAAGGATGACTTGAAGAATTTTGGTCCATTCAAATGGAGTTACCATTGACTATAATAAAGAATAGTGCAGGAAGTGCTGATTTGGGAATTATTCTCAGAGGCTCAGTTTTGGACACATTAATTTTTGTATGCCTTTTAGCCCTCACGCAATTGCATATATGAGTCGGGAGAGGGGTCTAGGCTGTAGACACAAATTTTAGAGTAGTATACACATACATGTACGTGTATGTGTGTGTGGGCGCATGTGTTATCATATATTTTGAGTTGAATTGTGCGTGTCCAAAATCATATATTGAAGCCTTCACATCCAGTGCCTCAGAATGTGACTGTATTTGGGATAGATGTAATTAAGGTAAAAAGGGTAAGATGGGCCCAATCCAGTAGATTGGTGCCTTTATAAGAAAAGGAAATTTGGACATTAGACATACACATGCACAGAGGAAAGACTATGTAAAGACAGAGAGAAAGCTATCTACAATCTATGGAGGGCAGTCTAAAAAAATAAAAAATAAAAACCAAAGCAAAACAAATCACAAAACTCTGCTAACACTGTGATCTCAGACTCCTTGCCTCCAGAACTCTTAGAAAATAAATCTCTGTTATTCAAACCCCCCAGGAAATGGTATTTTGTTTTTTGTTATGATAGCCTTAGCAATCTAATACAGATTTTGATACTGAGAGTGGGATGCCAACTGTAAAAATAACAATAAGTGTGGAAGTGGCTTTGGAAATGGGTAACGAGTAGAGGCTGGAAGACTGATGATGCCATGTTAGAAAAAGCTTAGCTTGCCTTAAAGAAACAGTTGGTGGAAATACGGACATTAAAAGTGCTACTGTGGGGCCGGGTGCGGTGGCTCACACCTGTAATCCCAGCACTTTAAGAGGCCAAGGTGGGCAGTTCTCTTGAGGTCAAGAGTTCAAGACCAGACTGGCCAACAAGGCAAAACCCCATTTCTACTAAAAATATAAAAATTAGCTGGGCATGGTGGTACATGCCTGTAATCCCAGCTACTTGGGAGTTTGAGGCAGGATAATTTCTTGAACCAGGAGGTAGAAGTTGCAGTGAGCCGAGATCACGCCACTGCACTCCAGCCTGGGCAACACAGCAAGACTCTGTCTCAAAAAAAAAAAAAAATTAAAAAGTGCTACTGTGAAACCTTAGGTGGAAATGAGAAATATGTTTTGGACACTGGAGCAAAGTCAATACCTATTATACAGTGGCAAAGAACATGACTGAATTGTGCTCTAGTGTTTTATGAAAGGTAGAACTTGTGATTAACCCAGGTCTTTAGCTGAGGTGATTTCTAAGCAAACTTTTGAAAGTGTGGCCAGGTTTCTTTTTGATGCTTATGGTAAAATGCAAGAGAAGAGAGATACATCAAAGGATCATTAAGAATAAAGGAGTCAAAACTTGAGATTTAGAAAATTATCAGTTTATTCATATGGCCAAAAAATGAGAAAGCTTCTTCTGAACAGAAAACAAGGGTGTGACTGGTCATTCATTTCATAAAGAAATTATGAATGTGACACATGGATTGAATCAACGATCTCACCAGAAGGCAAGAATAGAGATGTGATTATCCAGGAAAAATATGTGGAGGGCACTCTTGTCTGATGGCTTGGATCCCTATGAAGTCAACAAGGTTATTTTTGAGAATTTTATATCAGCAGAAAAACTGCCAGCTTGGAGTAAAAGGGACAGTGATGGGAGAGAGTGAAGGAAAGCCACCAGACTTCTGAGATTCCATAGGATGGGCCAATTGGGGTATCTGGCTGAAAATCTGTGCTATTCTTCAAGAAAAGAGAAAAATGACTCCAAAGGTGGGACTGCCACTATTACCATGGGCTCAGAGTCTCAGGCCTGGGTGACAGGGCTGTCTCTTCTCCAGTTTCAGAGGGTGGGGCCACCACCTTGGTTTCAGCAGGCCAGGCTGCCATTATCCAGGGCCAAGGGAGCAAAATTGCCACCCCAGATGCCCTGGGGGGCAGGCTCACCTCCCCAGTGGGTCCTGAAGACAAAGAATTGAAACAAAAGGGATTATCCTTGACCCTTAAAATATACTGGAATTTGCCCTGGTAGGTTTTGGACTTGCCTGGGACCTCTGACCCCTTTCTTCTTTCTGATTTATCCCTTTTGGAAATGGGATGTTTATTGTATGCCAGCCCTACCATTGCATTTAGTAAGTTGATAACTTTTGCAGTTCTATAGGTTCAGGCTGAAGAGGAATTTTGCCTGAGGATAATCATAGCTTGATTCTCACTATGCCTGATTTAGATGATATTTAGATGAACTTTTAGACTTGGATTCAATACTGGAATGGGTTAAATATTTTGAGCTATTGGGAAAGAACTCATATATTTTGCATGTGAAGAGGACATGAATTTTGGAGGGCCAGAGAGTTGGAGGGTTTTGGGTTGAATTGTGGCCATCCAAAATTAACATGTTAAAGTCCTAAACTTAGTACTTTAGAATGTGACTGTATTTGGAGAAAGGTCCTTTAAGGAGGTAATTAAAGTGAGGTTATATGGCGGGCTACAATCCAATATGATTAATGTCCTTATAAGAAGAGGAAATTTGGACATGGGAATATGAGCACACAGAGGAAAAACCATGTGAAGACAGAGGGAGAAGATGGCCATCCACAAAGCAAGGAGAAAGGCCTCAAAGAAACCACCTCTGCCAACACCTTGATTTCAACTTCTTGTCTCCAGAACTGTGAGAAAATAAATTTCTGTTATTTAAGCCATTCAGTATGTGTACTTTGTTATGGCAGCACTAATAAACTAACACCATGTATTTGTACATATGGTATTGAAATAAACTCACACACATATGTACGTGTATACAGATAGTCCTTCCTTGCACAGTTCCAATATGTACAGATTTCAATTACCATGATTTAGTTAAATAATACCAAATAATAGTAATTCCCCAACAACGCAGTTCAAATTTTAGTTTTCACAGTATATTAACTGAGTAACAGAGTAAAGTACAAATGTTGCTGCTAGCTTTTCAGACCGTAAATGCTTATGTAAATAACATGGATACATTGTGATCAGTGGCCAATGATGTAACTTCTTTTAAAGTTTGTTAGTGAATGTTCACTGCACATCTGTAATTCAGTTCCCACAGACAGCAAAGCATTTTGTTATGTTGCTTCCTGGTCTCCTACTGAAAAACCCACCTGACATTTTATAAAAGTGAATAATCCAAAGAGGGAATTAAAGAAGTCAACATACATAAAAGTGCAGCAAAAAAACAAAAAGTAACACCAGCAGGGAAATGTGAGTCAAATATGAATGGAGTTATGGGAAAATAGCTGCCATTAAGAGACTCTAATTACACAGCCAGAGGAACTTAGTGAAGTTCCCACTTAATGACATGCATAAGGAAAGTGGTTCTGACAAAAAGGACAAAGATGTTGAAGACGAGGTGGTGGTAACAGCACAAATACTTCACTTGAAAGAAATTCTCTAAGATATTTCACATCATTGGAAGATACAATGTTGGCATCTGATACAAACTTAGAAAGGAGTATGACAATTCTTCCTCTGTATTTTACAATACATGATGTAGATATGTAGATGTATAGTCATACATATATATAAATGATGGTTAAAATTTAAACTACATAGTCAAGTTTTAAAATATTTTTAAACTAATTAAATTTAATTAAAATAAAAAGTTAATGTTTATACATAGGACTTAATGTAGATAAGGGTTTTGAAATTAAAACATTTATACTTTCAATTTCAAAGCACACATATACAACGAGAGAAACAAAAATAATAAAATAAAAAATGGGTAAAGTACACAAACTCATAAGTTAATCAAATTGACATTTAAGTATCATATTTCATCTATCATAGAAGCACAGATTTAAAGCTTTCCTAAACTGAGTGTGGGTGTGCAGAAACAGGAACTTAATGTGTTTCTTGGTGAGAATATAAAGTAAAACAAAATTGTTGAGTGCAATTTGACAATATCGATTAAAAAATATTTACCTTTTAACTCAGCAGTTTCATTTCCAGGAATTTATTCTAGGTTATCATCACAAATTAGGCCATGAAAAATAAACACAGATGGGCACTGTTTTAAATAGTGCAAAATTGCAAACAATCTAAATAACGATTGATATGTGGTACTATCCGACACACAAACAGACAGATGGGTAAAATGAGGGACAGTGGAGTTGTGAGTAGTATGTTCTCATTTATTAAGTGTGTGTCTGTGAGTGCCTGTGTGTGTGTGTGTGTGTGTGTGCATGCGTTTATGTACCAAAAAGTATAAAAGTGCCCTTTCTTGCTGTGGGCCTAAAGTATGGAGGTATATATAGTTTAACTTTTTGACAATAAATATACTTTCAAAAAGAACTAAGGACCAATGTTATACCTATATTAAACAGTATTGCCAAAATAGGAAACGAATAATTATTGACCATTTGAGAAGGCTTCAAGGAAAGGGAACGTGTCAGTTTAGACCAGTTAGTGTGCCAGACACAGTCAACAGCTTCTTCTCATCTTACTTACTTGGGAAGGGTGTACTATTCTATCATAATGAGGAGACATTACCCTTAATGTATTATTGCCTTTAAATATGTCTCAAATTCATCTACTTCTCTCCATCTCTTTCTTGCCTTTATGTGGACTCCTCTGTCATTATCTTCTGTTACACCTTAATCTGGATAGTAACCAACAGAGTTTGAATATTTCCTTTGTGAACTCTGCAAGTTTCATCAAAGCAGACACCAACATTCCTTCTTCTCCTCTACCACTATAGTACATATTGTACACTAGTGTATCTTCAGTATTGTGAATAATGGTTTGCATATATTTTTACTGAGTTCTTGGTGTTTAGGCTGTTTGTATCATCTGTTTGATATCAACAGCACCACATCGTAGGTGCAAAATGTATGATTTTTGAATGAATAAATCTCTAATGCTATATACATTTATTTTGTAATACCACTTCTAACTTAGATTTTTATCTTAAGCCTTATCTTTAATTGTGGAGGTTTCAAAACATTTCCAAGCATTGTGTATTTGTTCCTTTCATGTTTAGCACAGTTTTATTACCTTTGAAACCTGTTACATCTTTCCCAACTAGACCATAACTCCATGAAAGCAATGTCCTACCTGTTTTGTTCTCCAGTCCTACAAGTACCTGAGAGAATAGTTGAATAAATGTGTAAAATGAAAATGTTTGTTCACTGATGAGTAAGAGTCATGCTTGACCAGTGGAGCATCTTTCAAGATAACAGATGACACTTGTAGGGAGCCAGGGGTCACCTCCAACCCCCCTTTTAACTCTTAATAGGTTCTTCAGCTGGATGGAGAAACCAGATTGACACCAGGCAGGTTGATAAGAGAAAAGCATACAAATTTTATTAGTTTTACATGCACATGGGGTTCTTCACAAGAGAGGGAAGTCAAAAGAAGTGGCCAAAGCAAGATGCCTTGATACTTTTTAGACATAGAGTGATAGATTTGAGAAGAAATGATAGGACAAAGAAAATCTGGCTACAGTGGTAAAAATTTTCCAGGGGAGTTACTAAGAAATACATGGGAAAGTGTAAAACAGGTGAAGGATGAGGATTACTTCATTAATTATGTTTATTTAGGTCCACTGTAGCCTTCAATTCCAAGTCTCTGGTGATACGGGCTATTTTCTGACCCTGATATGGAGAGAGTACCCCTTCCAGAGGAATCTTTATTGTTTGCTGCAGGTAGAAAGAGATAGGTCAGCTCAGCCTTTCTGAAATTATTTCTCTAATGTTTTTAACTCAGAATAATCAACATACCAAGTAGGCATATTTGGGGATGGCACATTGTTCACTCCTTTACTCTGAAGTTATGTCTTTTCAGGGCTTGCAAAACAATGACAGGACTAAAAAAATGCTGATATTGTAAAAAACTTTTTTTCCCAGACTATAGATTTTGTGTATATAATGAGTTGATAAACTCTGAGAACATCAATTTTTAGTCAGATTTGGTCAAATTCAAATTTACCTTGGTCACTTACTACTTGTGTGATCACAGGAGCAGGACTTCATTCCATTATCTATTAAATGGGGGACAAAGACACCTGCCAGTAGAATTGTCATGGAGATGAAGGATAATGATGGATGCACATGAAGCACAACCCAGTGCCTGGCACTTGAAAGGTGCATAAACGTCATTAGTCTCTTTCTTCCATTTCCCCTCCTGCATTTTTGCTTATAATCCTTGTGTATTTAGTATCCATGTAACATACTATCAGCATGTGAAATAGATAATTTTTAGAGCATTTGAATGATGTTAGTAGAAATCACCCATTTCCTGACAGTTTTTAATCTGCATTCAACTTTTGATTATTTATTTGCAGATTGGTCATGAGAATCATAAAAACTCCTGGCTACCTTTCTTTTGCCACCAAGTAATTATTACCTATTATCATTTTTTAACCATGTGTATAAACCTCACTGTCATGTGCTTTCAAGGATGGAAAACTGTTGTGCTTATAACTCAATTTCAAACAAATGAATAAAATAAATATTTGTTCAAAATCCATGTCAATATTATCAGTTAAAATAATACAGTTTTCCATAATAGTTCCAAAATATCAACTGAACATTTAATATTGAAATTGATAAAATTAAGTCCAGTCCCCTAAATGTGGCAAAATCACAACCCTTCTTAAGACAAATAAAGCAGCTGAACACTGTCTTAGATAAGTTTTATTCAATGTATTAAATTCTATCAGAAATTGAACGCAATTATAAACAACAGTATATGTGTTGTATGTTTACAACACATATACATTGAAACTGATGTTTAGTTTAAGTTTTTTGTTTTTTTTTCACATGTGGTTTTTACTTAATTCAAAATATCTGCCAAGCCTTGGAATGCAAGTTAATTCCAAGCAACAATGAAAATGAAGACAGGGGTTGATCATGAGCATGACCACTAGATGCTGCTAGTTGTCTAGTTTATAAATCTAAGCAGTTGCATTTCTCAAAAGCTTGCTTCTCCCTTTTTTTACCACTGTTTTTCAAACACAATATAGAATTCAATTCTAAGGTTCAGTTAAGTTGGAGCATATAGAAAGTTAACATTTGTAATATTCAAGTTTAAAAAAATTGCTTCTAACTTCACTCAATCTCTTTTTCTTTACATCCTAAAAGGTAGTAACATCCAAGTCTAAAATATAGTTATGTCACAAAAATAACCACATCTCCTTGTAATTACATTATTGTTATAATAAGCTGTCATCAGATTTTTTAACAATGGGCAATTTAACTCTTGTCGTTCATGGACAGTTAATTGCTTTACTTTGATTCTTCTCTGAAAGTGTTTGTAATCAGCTACAGTTTAAAATTGCCTTATCTTCAAGGACATTCATGAAAAAGACTCTGACAGGTACTCTGAAATACAGATTGCTGCTGATAACTTTGTGATCTTATCATTGGACTGGGTAAGAATTTTTAAAACTCTAATGAAAAACCTAATGGCTTCATGCAACAGCTGTAACAAGATCAAGCAAAATAAGAATTGCATGATGTTCATTCTGCTGAGGATAATGTTTTTTGACTTTCTATTCAAAATTTTGGAGGTTCTTAAATGTTTTATTTTCCTGAACTAAGGAAATTTTAAATTTTTTCTTAAGCTATCTATAGCATATTGGTAACATACGCTTTTGTAAACAGAATTAAAATATTTACCTTTTCTCCCTACCTGATTCTTCCAGAATTCACAAAGCTACTTGTTGATTTTCTTATTTCTTGGCAATACAGTGAATTGCAAAAGTTCAATAAGACTCTGTTTTCTTTATAACAGGACAGAATTGGAAATACCGGTTATATTACTAAGACTCTGACTGGGATACTATATTTGAGAAGATACAAAGAACATCTAGCTTCAAAGATTCTCAGCCTCATAGTGGCTCTCACTTCCTGGCAGGCCCAGGAACCTCAGGATATTTTGGAGAGCCCAAGACAAGAGGAATTCACTAAAATCTATAGGTATTGCAGGCAAAGTTTGATGATGAGTCCTTGGCTTGACATTATAGCTTTGAGAGGCTTTTAAAAGACAAATCTGATATTTCTTATAAAAAGATTCAGGAAAGTAAACTTAAAGGGGCCAACAACAGCCAAGCTGAGAGGTAAATCAGGAAGGCAATCCCATTCACAATTGCCACTAAAAGAATAAAATACCTAGGAATACAGGTAACCAGTAAGGTAAAAGATCTCTACAATGAGAATTACAAAACATGGCTCAAAGAATCAGAAAAGACAAAGAAATAGAAAAGCATCCCATGCTCATGGAGAGGATGAATCAATATTATCAAAATTGCATACTGCTCAAAGCAATTTATATATTCAATGCTATTCCTATCAAACTACCAATGACATTCTTCATAGAACTAGGAAAAACTATTTTAAAATTCATATGGAACCAAAAAAAAAAAAGCCTGAATAGTCAAGGCAATCATAAACAAAAAGAACAAAGCTGGATGCATCATGTTACCTGACTTCAAACCATACTACAGGCTACAGTAACCAAAGCAGCATGGTACTGGTACAAAAACAGGCACACAGACCAGTAGAACAGAATAGAGAGCCCAGAAATCAGGCTGCACACCTACAGCCATCTGATCTTCAACAATGCTAAACAAATAAGCAATGGTAAAAGATTTCCTATTCAGTAAATGGTGCTGGGATAACTGGCTAGCCATGTGCAGAAGATTGAAGCTGTACCCCTTCCTTACACCATATACAAAAATCATATCAAGATGGATTAAAGACTTAAATGTAAAAAGCAAAATTGTAAACTCTTGGAAGACAACCTAGGCAATACCATCCTGGACACAGGAATGGGCAAAGATTTTATGACAAAGACATTGAAAGCAATCTTAACAAAACCAAAAATTGACAAATGGGATCTAATTAAACTTAAGAGCTTCTGCACAACAAAAGAAATTATTAGGAGAGTAAACAGTTAATCTACAAAATGGGATAAAATATTTGCAAACTATGCATCTGACAAAGGTCAGATTTATAAGAAACATAATCAAATTTACAAGAAAAACAAACAATCCCATTAAAAAGTGGGCAAAGGACATGAACAGACACTTCTCAAAATAAGACATACATGTGGCTGACAAGCTTATGAAAAACAGCTCAATATCACTGAGAATTAGAGAAATGCAAATCAAAGCCACAGTGAGATACCATCTCACACCAGTCAGAATGGCTATTGTTAGAAAGTCATAAAATAACAGATGCTGGTGAGGTTGCGGAGAAAAGGAAACACTTAGATACTGATGGTGGGAGTGTAAATTAGCTCAACAATTGTGGAAAGGAGAATGGCGATCCTCCAAAGGGCTAAAAGCAGAACTACCATTAAGCCCAGCAATCCCTTTACTGGGTGTATACCCAGAGGAATATAAATCATTCTACCATAAAGGCACATGCACGTGAATGCTCACTGCAGCACTATTCACAATAGCAAAGACATGGAATCAACCTAAATGTCCATCGATGACACATTGGATAAAGAAAATGTGGTACATATACATCATGGAATACTATACAGCCATGAAAAAGAACAAGATCATGTTTTGAAGGAGCATGGATGGAGCACGAGGCTATTATCTTTAGCAAATTAACACAGGAATAGAATACCAAATAACACATATTCTCACTTATAAGTGAGAGCTGAATGATGAGAACTCATGAATACAAAGAAGGGAAAAACAGAACCTGGGGTCTACTTGAGGGTGGAGGGTGGGAGGAGGGAGAGGAGAAGAAAATGTAACTATTGGGTACTAGGCTTAATACCTGGCTCATGAAATAATCTGTAAAACAAACCGCTGTGACACAAGTTTACTTATATAGCATGTACCCCTAAACCTAAAACAAGTTTAAAAAAAAAAAAAATAAGGATTTGCTTCATAGTTGTATCAGAAGTCTTCAACGTGAAAAAGGGGCCTATATTGTCAATCACTATTTTTGCTGTGCTTACATAATCAGGCAAAGTATGATGAGAGTAAATTTATTTTTATAAACAAATTAGTCTTACTTTGATTAACTCAGGTAGAAATTGGGGTGACTATAGAGATAAAAAGTACGTTTCTAAAAAAACTATAGTATACTTGTTATTGGATTATAGCTCTATTCATTGTTTGTTTATTTGTTTATTTATTTATTTATTTTGAGAAAGAGTCTCACTCTGTCACCCAGGCTGGAGTGCAGTGGTGCGATCTCAGCTCACTGCAACCTCTGCCTCCCAGGCTTAAGCGATTTGCTTACCTCAGCTTCCTGAGTAGCTGGGATTACAGGTGCCCGCCATCACATCTGGCTAATTTTTGTATTTTTAGTAGAGATGGGGTGTTGCCATGTTGGCCAGGCTGGTCTTGAACTCCTGAGCTCAGGTAATCTGCTCATCTCAGACTCCCAAAGTGCTGGGATGACAGGCGTGAGCCACCAAGCCTGGCTGTTTTTGAATTTTTATTATCTACCTGTAGATTGGACTGGATCCTCAAACTTTTCTTGTTCCCTTCAATATCTGGCTTCCACTAGTGACAAGAACAGTTCTGTTCTTGAAGCCCTATAATCTGGAGCCCGACAAGTCAACATCATTTTCTAGGGGCAACTTTGTGCCTTGAGAGTTCACTGAAATGACAAATGCCACAACCAGAGACCTTCATACTGCAAACAGGATGAGAAGTTGACAACTTCAAGTTGTGGACAGCTTTTCCCAAGACATAAGAATAAGATTCATCATCATGAGACTCTTACCCCTCTTAATTATTTTCCTTTCCTATGTTTCCCTCTTTTGCTTGGAAGTATAATACTGTCATTAAAGTCTCACAATTAGTAGCTTCTGTGGGTAACTTGAGGGAGTGTTGAATCTCTCATGCCAAACCCAAATCTTTACATTATGTAAGAGATCCTTTAGTCCACCCATGAGCTCACTTTAGCAACATTCCTAACATAACTGCTCAAATTGCACTACTGCTCCCTTTTATGGGATCAGATTCTAGACCTATTTGTTCTCACTCTGTGTTTTAATTTAACCTAGTCATGGAATACTAAATAATACTTTCCTGAAATTAGCATATTTGCAGCAACCAATTAGAAAGGGCCCATTTGACCTAAGCCAGTGTAATTATGAAGTCCTCTTTGCTTTAACTCTTAAAAGCAACTGAAGTAATCTTATGTTAACCAATCTGTTTTTGTTTTTTATCCCGTTTACTTGTCCCAACCTTATAAAAATCAACAGTGCTGCCATGCCCAGAGCAGCACTTCATCTATTTTATGGAATGAGATGCTATAATGAATGAGAACTCAGGAAGAGAACCCATAAAGTTGTTTATGAACTTCTGGGCTGACTTCAACCTGCATATGCATGAATCTGGTTCTAGTCAGCATACCAAAGAGTTTGGAGAACTGAGCTAATGCATAGGTTATTATATAGGTCCCAGACTGACAACTGAGTAGTGTACACAAGGGACAAATCCAAATAGTACTGAGCCACTGCAAAAACTTTGAAATTGAACTGAAGCAGTAACTATATGCTATAGAAGATGGGTAGAAATTTGCAGCCTGAACTTTTGTTTTAACAAGTAGATTGCCTGCAAAACCAAAAATATCAACATTTTCCATAGGATTTAAGTAAAACCCAGAGTCCTATAACATAATAATCAAAATATCCAGGATACGATAGAAAATATATATGTGAAGAGAGATGAAAATGTCAACTTTGATGGGAAAATACAATCAACAGATGCCTACAATCAGATGATGTAGATGTTGGAATTATCTGACAGGGATATTAAAGCAGCTATTTTTAAATTGCTCAAATGTATAATCATGAACATTTTTAACAAATAAAAATAAAATATATAAATTGAAATTATAAAATGGAGATATATATATATAGTGATAGAAGTAAAATACTTGAAGAATAAACTTAATAGCAGAGAATGGAATTGACTAAAGAAAGAGCAAAGAAATTATCCATATGAAAAATAGAAAGAAAAAACTTGAAAATTCTATACATCTGTTTCAGAAAGCAGAAGACAGGCAAACATTTACCAACCTATTTTATAAGTGTAACATTACCCTGATGCTAAAACCAGACCAAAAAAAAGGCAAACCAACAAACCCACAGACCAATATGCCTCCTGAATTTTGATTTTAAAGATTCTCAATCAGGTATTATCAAATGGAATTCAGCAATATATAAGAGGAAAAATATATCACTACAAAGGGAGGTTTCGTGAGCATACAAAGCTGGTTTGATATTTAAAATTAGTCAATGTAATTCACATTAAAATATACATTCCATAAGATTATATAAATTAATGCAGATTAAGCATGTGATAAAATGCAAACTCTATTTATCACTTAGAAACTTTCAGCAAACTAGGAATAGAAGGAAACTTCATCAACTTGATTAGAAGGCATTATAAAAACCCTACAGTTAACATTATACTTACTGGTGAAAGACTGAATGGTTTCCTTCTGCAATCAGAATACAGTAGTGAAAAGACCTACAGAAAAACAGAAATGAAAGTGCTCCTCCTCACAGACAACCTGATTGTCTACACACAAAATCTCAGTTTTCCATTAAGAAAATGCATATACAAACTATGATAAGTACCACTGCACACCTGTTAGAACGGCTAAAATACTGACAGTATCAAGTGTTGACAAGGATGTGGAAGATCTGGAACTCTCATACATAGCAGCAGGAATGCAAACTGATAGAGCAATTGTTTTGGGTTGAATTGTGTGCACCCCCAAAAAATTTATACTTCGAAATCCTAGCCCCTAATATCTCAGAATGTGACTGTATTTGGAAATGAAGTCGTTACAAATGTAATTAGTTAATATGAGATCATACTGGAGCACAATTTGTCCTTAATCCAATACAGCTAATCTCCTTACAAAGAGGAGAAATGTCCACACAATTCATGTCTTTATAGGTGAGTGAGTTTCTTGTACTAGCCTATAGTTGGGTCTTTTCTTTTAAATCAGTTCAACCACATCATGTCTTTTAATTGGGGACTTCAACTTTGATTTGTTTACTTCAAGGTTATTATTGATGAGTAAGGACTTCCTACTGTCATTTCATCACTTGTTTTCTGGATGTTTTGTAGATCCTTTCTTCCTTTTTTCTTCTCTTACAGTTTTCCTTTGTGGTTAAGTGATTTTCTCTAGTAGTATGCTTTGGTTCTGTGCTATTTATTTTTAGTGTATCATCTATTGTAGATGTTTGCTTTGCTGTTATCATGAGGCTTACAAAAATCATCTTATAGTTAGAACAGGTTATTTTAAGCTGAATGACATCTTTAGTTGCAAGCAAAGAAAAGAAACAAAACCAAACTCTACACTTAACATCATTTCCCCCCCACATTTTCACTTTTTGAGGTCTCAATTAACGTTATTTTATATTTCCTATCTCTTAATCAATTGCAGTTATTATTGTTATTTATTAATAGTTTTGTCTTAGTTTTCATACTAAAGATGTATGTGGTTTACACACCACAATTTCAGTATTAGAATATTTGAATTTGTCCTTATACTTTTACTAGTGAGTTTTATACCTTCAGATGTTTTCTTGTTACATATTAGCACCCTTTTCTTTCAAACTGAGGAACTCCTTTTGACATTTCTTATGAGATAGATCTGGTTTTGATCAATTCCCTCAAATTTGTTTGCCTGAAAAAATCTTTATCTATCCTTTATGTTTGAAGAATAGCTTTGCTGGGCACAGTATTTTAGTTTGCAATATTTTCCTTCAGCACTGTGAATGTATTGTCCCACTCTCTCCTGGCCCTGAGGGTTTATGCTGAGAAATCTGCTGAAAACCCCATGGGGGTCTCTGTTGAATATAATACGTTTCTTTTTTCTTGCCACTTTCAATATTCTTTTTTGTCTCTGATTTTTAATAATTTTATTATGATGTGCCTTGGGGAATTTCTCTTTGGGTTGAGTCTTATTGGTGACTTCGGAGCATCTTGTACCTGGATGCTGTCGTCTTCTTCCAGATTTGAGAATTTTCAGCTGTTTTTTTCTTCTCAAATACGCTTTATAGGCCTTTTTCTTTCTTGTGTCTTTTGGGAACTCCTATTATGCGAAGGTTAGTTTGTTTGACGGTATCCAATAAGTCCCATAAGCCTTCTTCACTTTTTAAAATTCTTTCTTTTTGCTCCTCTAATTAGATAATTTCATATGTTCTGTCTTTGACCTCACTGATTCTTTGTTCTGTTTGATCAAGTCCGTTTTCTGAAGCTTTCTATTAAGTTTTGAGTACAGTTATTGTATTATTTATTTCTGGGATTTATATTTGTTTTTTAAATTGTTTTTATTTCTTTGTCAATTTCTCATTTTCTTGTCTCAATATATCTTGTCACCTTCAATTTTGGGGGATTGGTTGCTGGAGCTTTATTGGTTTCTTTTGGTGGCGTCATTTTTCTGATTTTTCACAATCCTGTGTCCTTACATTGGTATCTGTGCATTTGAGGACATGGCCACCTCTTCAGCTTTCGCAGGTGTTCTTTGAGTGTTAAACCTTTACTACTTAATATCAGAATTTAATTGCTGGCCTGTTGTTGCCCTGTTCTGGGGAGAATGTACAGTTCACACCACAAGTTAATTGCTACACTGCAACTTAAAGCTGCAGTGGTTTCTGGGTCTGAGAAAGACTTAAGCAAGCACCAGAGCTTAATTGTAACATTTTAAATGTTTCTTGGTCAGGAAAAGGCTCCATAGGAGCACCTGAGATAATTGGGGAATCTGGCCAGGGACTTAGGCCTTCCCATGGATAATGCCCTAACAGTGCTATGGCATAACCAATCTCCTCTGCGTGACAGCTCCACTAATTGGAGCACAGAGTAGCCATCATGATCTGTGGGATGGTCACTGTGATCAGCATCCTGTTCCTTGTCTCATGTTTACCCTAAGTGGTTCAGCTCTTCCATGGGACAGGGCCAAAGCGTGCTTTCTGTGAAGACTGCCAGAGCAGCGGGGAGATCAGACTTTCACCTCCAATTCCCTCCTCCCACCTTGGAATTCCTGGGTTCAGAAATTTCTCTGTGAGTGGTATTTTGCTGCTGTGAAGCAGGGAGTGGCAGAGTCTAAAATGACCATTCCTCTTGAGGTCACAGTTTTTCTTGCCTCTGTCGGCCCAGGGGGTTTCTCCTCCAAGTTACGGTGAATCCAGGGTGGCATCCTTGTCTTTTAATAGTTGTTAATTGTACATCTGTGTGTTTGAGTGATCCCAGGATCTTTTGTTCCACTGACTTTCTATTGTCACTTCTTGGTTACTCTTAATGCTCTGCTTTCATGATAAATGCTTTATCAGAATTTAAAAAACCTTTAGTGATTTTTGTAGATAACGTATTCTATCTTCACATACAAGTTTATAAAGAAATTCAACAAAACAGAAACAGGAACTATAAACCAAAAGAAAAAAATTGATAATAAAATATGTATTTTAATGCATAAAATGCTTGGCACAATTTAAAAATGATATTAAGGCAGATAATTGCACTTGTAAGTCAAACCCTGTGACTGAAAATTATAAATAAATTCTAATAAAATTGTGTGTTTTTTACCAATAGAAATAATGTGGACAGCATTGCTTTAGGTGATATTATTTATCAAAATGATGAAAAACAACAGAATTTTAAACAAAATTATACAGAAATTTTCTTTGAAGTAGATGGTAATTATACTTACAGAAAATCAAATAATAAAGTAATCCCTCAATATACTTGGTGAATTGGTTCCAGGACCACCCACATATACCAAACTCCATGCTTACTCAAATCCCACAGTCTGACCTGCTAAATCTGTGTATACAAAAAGCTGATCGTCCATACATGAAGATTTCACATCCTGTGTATAATATATTTTCAGTTACCTTTGGATGAAAAAAATCGGCATATAAGTAAGTCCAGTCCATTCAAACGCATGTTGTTCAAGGGTTAACTGCATATTTAACGTGCAAAAGTACTGTATATACATATACAGGTTTTTAAAAATCTTTACGCATGTCCAGTAGGTATTCTTTTGCAACTCATAGAGAACGTAGAAAAAATATTTTTGTTTTATGGGAGAGGCCTTTGTATTGTATTTATTGCATCATTTCATCCCTCCATATGCCAAATTTCATTAGTACACTTCAGTTATTTGCAATTTTATTTTTGCCTCCTCCAGACCATAAAAATTTATAGACAGTGGAAATATTATAATCTTTTCCTACCCTTTTCTAGCCTCCTGACTGTATTCATGTTCTCCTGTCTGAGGAGCTCATGATTAAGTGAACCTGTTGATTGTTAGGTTGTCTAAGTTATCTAGAACAATTAAGGATTGAACACATTCCTGAACTCTGAATCAAATTTCTGTTTGCATTTTTTGAGCTTTAGAAAAATAATTATAGCAGTCAACCTGGCTCTAGAGAAAGGTACAAATTCATCCTCCCTGGACCTGAACTGTATATTTGTAATTGTATAAGGATGCTCTATTTGCTATTAATAAAATCTTGAGGATAAGATAAATTCTTGAGAGATGAAGAAAAGTGCCATAAAGAATAGGAGTGTAAACTGCTTGTGAAGATAAAGAGCAAATAGAAAAGAGTTTCTTTTAAAAAATTTAGAATAAAATAGACAGATTTTTAGAGAGATTATTTTGAACTCACCATCAGCTGACTGTTATTGTTGAATGTTTTTCATTATTTTTCTAGAGTCCCTTGTATTCATTTTGGAAAACCAGATATTCTCCCAATTTAGACCTTGTTACTATAAATATATATTTTTAAATTTTTTCATTTGCTTATCATGGCTCTGCTTCTATCTTTTTCCCTTGGACAGCTAATATGTTGAAAAAAAATACAGAACAACCTAGGGCAAAACAAAAAATACCCACATCATTATTTTTTATATTTAGATGAAAGAAAGTGAAAGCAAAACAAATAGTTAAAAAAAAAAAAACAGCAAACTACTTAACAGATGATGTACCCCCAAACCAAAACTTCTAATTATTTATATAAAAATCTGGGTCTAATAAAATATTTATCATAAGTAATATTTTGGAAGTATACCTCCAAATCAAAAGGTGTAATTACTTTAAATATGAACCTATTAGGTTACAAACACTAGGATAACATAATTAGCAACAAGAACTCAATTAAACTAGCCAGATCTCAAATCATTATTGAGGCAGACACAGGAGAAAGCAGGTCTGAAGGATAAATGGAATTAGAATGAAGTTTTCTTTCCTTGGTAACAAAGCTCTTGGTAATCTGACTCCCACCTCCTTTCTACAATCAAATTTTATAAATTCTCAGTTGCCCTAAAGGTACTCATCCTTTCCTAGACCTATAAATTTGTTTGTTTATTACTTAGTTGTGAACACTACTAAAAAAAAGTCTGTTTTTTAAAATTGTACTTTAAGTTCTGAGATACATGTGTAGAACATGCGGGTTTGTTACATAGGTATACACGTGCCATGGTGGTTTGCTGCACCCATCAACCTGTCTTCTACATTAGGTATTTTTCCTAAGGTTATCCCTCCCCTAGCCCCCTACCCCTTAACCAACACAAAACTCTCTTTTAAAAACAAATATTTTTAGGAATGTGAAGGGAGGCAAGATGGCCAACTAGATGCAGCCAGTAGGAACATCTTCCACTGAGGGACTGGGACATTGGGAAGACTGGCACACTCCAAGCAAATTTTTGGAGAGAAGGCACTGAGAGTGGTTGGGGAGAGGACACAGATGCTGGACTGAAAGAGAGGAAGTGGGAACCCCGCCCAGGGCTACTGCCTACCAGGGCAGTAGTAATGAAGGTACTCAATGTAAAGAGATAAAGAGAAATCTACCCAGCAAGAAGAAATCAGAAAAAAGCAGGGATTGCTATTTTAATTTCGGACAAAACAGACTTTAAACCAGCAAAGATCAAAAAAGACAAGGAAGGGCATTACATAATGGTAAATGGCTCAATTCAACGAAAACACGAATTATCCTAAATATATATGCCCCCAACACGGGACCACCCAGATTCATAAAGCAAGTTCTTACACACCAATGAAGATACTTAGATAAATACACAATAATAGTGGAAGAATTCAACAACCCATTGACAGTGTTAGACAGATCATTGGGGCAGAAAACTAACAAACATATTTAGGAACTCAACACTTGACCAAATGCACCTAACAGGTATCTATGGAACTCTCCATCTCAAAACAAAAGAGTATACATTCTTCTCATCTGCACATGGATCATACTCTAAAATTGACTACACAATCAAACATAAAACAATCCTCAGCATCAGCAAATTCAAAAAATTAAAATCATACCAACTGCACTCTTGGTCCACAGCACAATAAAATAGAGATCAATAATAAGAAAATTACTCAAAATCATACAGTTACATGGAGACTAAACAACCTGCTCCTGAATGACTTCTGGGTAAATAATGAAATTAAGACAGAAATCAAGAAATATTTTGGAAAAATAAGAAGAAAGATACAACATACAAGAATCTCTGTGACACAGCTAAAGCAGTATTAACAGAGAAATATATAGCACTAAACACCCACATCAAAAGGTTTAAAAGATCTCAAATGAACAACCTAACATTACAACTAGAGGAACTAGAGAAACAAGAGCATAACAACACCAAAGCTAGCAGAAGACAAGAAATAATCAAAGTCAGAGCTTAACTGAAGGACATTGAGAAACAAAAAACTACACAAAAGATCAATAAATCCATGAGTTGGTTTTCTGAAAGAATTAATAACATAGATCAATAGCTAGACTAATAAAGAAAATAAGAGAGAAGATCCAAATAAACGCAATCAGAAATGACAAAGGAGACATTACTACTGACCCCATAGAAATACAAAAATCCCTCAGAGGCAACTAGGAACAACTCTATGCACACAAGCTAGAAAACCTAGAAGAAATGTATACATTCCTGGAAGCATACAACCTCCCAAGATGGAAACAGGAAGAAATTAAATCCCCAAAAAGACCGATAATGATATTGGTATTTTCAGGGATCTGAAATTGAATTAATAATAAATAGCCTGCCAACCAAAAACTAAAAACAAACAAACAAACACCCCAGAACCAGACAGATTCACAGATGAATTATACCAGTTGTACAAAGAAGAGCTGGTATCATTCCTATTGGAACTATTCCAAAAAAATTGAGGCGGAGGAATTTCTCTGTAACTTATTCTATAAAGTTAACATCATCCTGATAGCAAAACCTGACAGAGACACAACAAAAGCAGAAAACTTCAGGCAAATATTCTCGCTGAACATAGATGCAAAAGCTCCAACAAAATACTAGCAAACCAAATCCAGCAGCGTGTAAAAAAATCCACAATGATCAAGTAGGTTTTATCCCTAGGAAACAAGGTTGGTTCAACATACACAAATCAATAAATGTGATTCATCATGTAAATAGAACCAAAACACACACACACACACAAACACATGATTTACTCAAGAAATGCTGAAAAGGTTTTTAATAAAAATCCATATTCCTTCATATTAAAAACCTTCAACAAACTAGGCTTTGAAGGAATATTCTTCAAAATAATAAGAGCCATCTATGATAAACCTATCACCATCATACTGAATGGACAAAAGCTGGCTGCATTCCCCTTGAGAACTAGAACAATACCAGGATGTCCAGTCTCATCACTTCTATTTAACATAGTACTGGAAGTCCTAAACTTCAGCAAAGTTTTGGGATACAAAATAAATGTATAAAAATTAGTAGCAATCCTATACACCAACAATGTCCAAGCTGAGAGCCAAATCAAGATCACAATCCCATTCACAATAGCCATGGAAGGATAAAATACCTAGGAATACTGCTAACCAGGGAAGTGAAAATCTCTAGAATGAGAATTACAAAACACTGCTGAAAGAAATCAAAGATGAAAAAACAAATATAAAAACATTCAAGTCATAGATAGGAAGAATCAATATTATTAAAATGCCCATACTACCCAAAGAAATTTACATATTAAATGCTATTCCTATCAAACTACCAATGACATTCTTCACAAAATTAGAATGAACTATTTAAAAATGATATGGAACTGAAAAAGAGCTCAAATACCCAAGACAATCCTCAGCAAAATGAACAAATCTAGAGGCATTACATTACCTGACTTCAAACTATACTACAAGTTTACAGTAACCAAAACAGCAAGGTACTGGTACAAAAACAGACACACAGACCAATGGAACAAAGTAGAGAGCCCAGAAATATTGTTGCACCCCTACAGTCATCTGATCTTCAACAAAGTAGGCAAAAACAAGCAATTGTAAAAGGACTCACTATTCAATAAATGATGCTGATGATTCAATAAATGAAAACTGGCTAGCCGTATGCAGAAGATTGAAACTGGACCCCTTCCTTACACCATATACAAAAATCAACTCAAGATGAATTTAAAACATAAGTGTGAAACCCAAAACTATAAAAACCCTGGGAAATATCCTAGGATATGCCATTCTGGACAGAAGATCTGGCAAATAGTTCATGATGCCACTGCCAAAAGCAATTGCAACAAAAAAATTGACAAATGGGACTTAATTCAACTGAAGAGTCTCTGCACAGCAAAAGAAACTATCAACAGAGTAAATGTACAAAGTATAGAATGGGAGAAAGTATTTGTGAACTATACATCAAACAAAGTTCTAATATCCAGAATCTATTAGGAACTTAAACAAATTAACAAGCAAAAAAACAAGCAGCCCCATTTAAAAAGACATGAATGGACACTTCTCAAAAGAATACCACACACAGCTAACAAGCATATGAAGAAAGTGTTCAGCATCAAAAATCATTAAAGAAATGCAACTCAAAACCACAGTGTGATACCATCTCACACCAGTCAAAATGGCTATCAACAAAAAGTCAAAAAATGACAGAAGCTGGTGAGGTTGCAGAGAAAATGGAATACTTATACACTGCTGGTGGGAAGGTTAATTACTTCAGTCATTGTGTAAACCAGTGTGGTGATTTCTCAAAGAACTTAAAGTAGAATTACCGTTCAACTCAGCAATCATATTATTGGGTATATACCCAAAGGAGAGAAATCATTCTGCCATAAAGACACATGCACACATGTGTTCATCAAAGCACTATTCACAATAGCAAAGACATGGAACTAACCTAAATGCCTATCAACAATAGACTGCATTAAAAAAATGTGGTCCATTGTCCCATGGAATACTACACAGCCATAACAAAGAACAAGATCATGTCTTTGCAGGAAAATGAATGGAGCTACAGGCCATTATCCTAAGCGAATTAACAAAGGAACAGAAAAGTGAGAACTGCATGTTCTCACTTACAAGTGGGAGCTAAACACTGATTACACATGGGCACAAAGAAGGGAAAAACAGACACTAAGGCCTACTTGAGGTTGGATGAGGGGCGAGGGTGAGAATTGGAAAACTACCTATCAGATACTAAGCTTATTACATGGATGGTGAAATAATCTGCACACCAAACCCCCATGACACAGAGTTTACCAATCACAAACCCACACATGTATTCTTGAACCTAAATGCCAAAAAAATTATAGTTACTTTTATCATGAAGTAAAATTCTTATAAGCTACCTACATACAATTTAAAATAAATTAATAAAATCTTTTAATGGAAACATAGAAAAGAAATCAAAATAATAACAAAATGTAATGTGTATTTTAACATGTTAATGCTGAAGCACAACCACGCAGGACAAGACATGATAAGACATATTTATACCTAATAAGTAAGGTCACATAAATATAACAGCGGCAAATGCAGAATCATACAAGCATACTTTTACTGAAAATCATATACAAAGTATGCTTTTACTGCAGTTAAAAATGCCATCAATGGCTTTTCTACTGGGGATATTATTTTCCAAAATGATAAAAACTCATTATCCAACAAAGTATTGTAATGATCTTCCTTTAAATTACCTCATATTGTTATTTATACAAAATCAAATGAATATCAAAAGTATAAAAGATAATTCTAGTTTAATGGAATTAAGAATAAGACTCAGATAATTACCTATTTGCACCTGCATGAGTGCTTGGGTGAACATGAATATGTGACAATTTTATTTGTGTGACTTATTTGCATATCTCTGGATCTTTCGCCTTAACCCCCACACTAAATATCAGTAGTGTCTCATCCTAGGGAAGAGCAGAACTCTAAGAGAAGATCCCCTTCTCTGCAAGCCTATGTGAGATCTGAATTGGAAAATGCTAATTTACTTTCCTCCCCACTGCTTGTATTATGTTCCCAGACTATCCTGTATTCACCTGCATGGAAGCATTTATCACATAAGCCATGTTCACTTATCATATTTTAGTTTCCTAAACTGGATAGAGCTTTACTTGAAACCAACCCAATACTCCCATAGATTGTTATTTTGGATAAACATAGACATTAACCCTTCTGCTGTTGAAGCTTGAAACCTGTATTTGTTTTATCTGAGTTTCTTCCTCAGGAAAAGACCTTCAGGCTTCTCAAAAAAAGTATTAAAGAATTGAAGCTCACCTAATCACAGCACCAGATGCCTCTTTGCCCCTCCATAGTTCCAGTTTTATTACACAATGTTACATTTCTTCCATGCTATATAAACCTCTTGTTTTAGTTAGTCAGGGAGATGGATTTGAGACTTGAGCTCCTATCTCCTTGGCTGCAGTACCCGATTAAAGAGTTCTTCTTTGGCAATACTTGTCATCTCAGTGATTGGCTTTCTGTGCAGTGAGCAGCAGGACCTAGACCAAACCCCTGGTGTTTTGGTAACACACTTAGTAGGACTACGTATTCTTCATTTTTATATTATCTGACACAGTGTCTACCTATCTTATAATAAGCAATCAATAAATGTTGGCTCAATTATTGAAACAGTATTATTAAACAAATGGAGGCATTTAAAAGGCAATGTAATAGAAGTAAATTTGCCAGTTCCTCAGGCAAGAACTTTTCAGCTAATTCCTCTTGGCCGGAATCTGGTATTCTTTTTGACAAACAGTTTTGTTTTTGTGAACAGTATTGATAGAACTTGAGCAAATGGTTCACATTGACCAAATCAAAAAACAAGCACACATTAAAATGCCACCTAATTTTAAACAGAGAACAGATTATTTATTTACAATAGAGAAGTCAATGTGGATGTATACTCATGTCTTCTGGACAGGGCATTTTGTGCCTGTAGAGAAATCTACTGCAAAAGCCAAATTTCTCTATTAACATAGAATCAGCAAAAGCAAATTGAACTTCGGGCTTGTGTCATGAAACTCAGGTTTGAGTGTTATCGGTTCTTTAAAGATATCTTAATAAGATTATCACATTTCTCTGGCTTATTTGGAATAGGAAACACTGATTTTTAAAAATATTCTATGCATAGTTCCTTTTTTGTTACCACAATCCTTTCAACTATAACGTTTTCTTTTTATTTCTGGAACATGGTATATAATTAATTGTATATTATATAGCGTTGAGGTGGTGAGACTTTCTATTAAGATAATTTTTCTAAATAGAGAATGGGTTGTTTGGGTATGTATGGGTTTTACCATTGAGTCTTAGGATACATTTTGAATCACATTTTTTACTATCAAAGTTGTTTACTAATCACCAAAAATTACTTGATCACTAATAGTATGTGAGGTGCTCTACTAAATGCTTCCATTCTCCTCCAACAGTCTCTTATGTGTTAGAGCCCAGCAATATTGGTGCAGTTTCCTCAAGAAAATTTGAATGATTTTAACACCAGAATGCTTGGTTGGGGAAGACTTTGGCATTTTGGTCGTTTGTAGCCAAGAGAAGACAGAGCTGATATGGTTGTTTGGAAATCCTATTATAACAGAGATAATTAATTTTATATATTATTTTCTCTTTGATGAATAATAGTTCCCAAGAAGCACACTTTTATTGAGTGTGATTTTCCAGGTAAAATTGGTTATAATAGGCATTTTAAAAATTACACTTCTGTGCACTTTTTAATGTTTACTAATTATCTCTGGTCAGATAAGCATTTAGAAAAAATAAGATGGCATCACAAATTTCTCGCCAGTGTCATTTTAATTAATGCCTTTTTATTATAGTTTAAATAAATATATTACACCAGTGAGATTGTAAAACTTGTGTTTCATGTATAAAACTGTTTAAGAGGGAAGGTGGAGCCAAGAGGGTCGAATAGGAACAGCTCCAGTCTAGAGCTCCCAGAGTGAGCGACGCAGAAGATGAGTGATTTCTGCATTTCCAACTGAGCTTTGAAGAGAGTAGTGGTTCTCCCAGCATGCAGCAGCTGGAGATCTGAGAACGGACAGACTGCCTCCTCAAGTAGGTCCCTGACTCCCGAGTAGCCTAACTGGGAGGCACCCCCCAGCAGGGGCAGACTGACACCTCACACGGCTGGGTACTCCTCTGAGACAAAACTTCCAAAGGAAAGATCAGGCAGCAACATTTGCTGCTCACCAGTATCCGCTGTTCTGCAGCCTCCGCTGCTGACACCCAGGAAAACAGGGTCTGGAGTGGACCTCCAGCAGACTCCAACAGACCTGCAGCTGAGGATCCTGACTGTTAGAAGGAAAACTAACAAACAGAAACGACATCCACACCAAAACCCCATCTGTACGTCACCATCATCGAAGACTAAAGGTAGATAAAACCACAAAGATGGGGAAAAAACAGAGCAGAAAAACTGGAAACTCTAAAAATCGGAGCGCCTCTCCTCCTCCAAAGGAACACAGCTCCTCACCAGCAACGGAACAAAGCTGGATGGAGAATGACTTTGACGAGTTGAGAGAAGGCTTCAGACGATCAAACTACTCCGAGCTAAAGGAGGAAGTTCGAACCCATGGCAAAGAAGTTAAAAACCTTGAAAAAAAATTAGACGAATGGCTAACTAGAATAACCAATGCAGAGAAGTCCTTAAAGGACCTGATGGAGCTGAAAACCAAGGCACGAGAACTACGTGACAAATGCACAGCCTCAGTAGCCAATTCGATTAACTGGAAGAAAGGGTATCAGTGACGGAAGATGAAATTAATGAAATGAAGTGAGAAGAAAAGTTTAGAGGAAAAAGAATAAAAAGAAATGAACAAAGCCTCCAAGAAATATGTGACTATGTGAAAAGACCAAATCTACGTCTGATTGGTGTACCTGAAAGTGACGGGGAGAATGGAACCAAGTTGGAAAACACTCTGCACAATATTATCCAGAACTTCGCCAATCTAGCAAGGCAGGCCAACATTCAAATTCAGGAAATACAGAGAACACCACAAAGATACTCCTCGAGAAGAGCAACTCCAAGACACATAATTGTCAGATTCACCAAAGTTGAAAATGAAGGAAAAAATGTTAAGGGCAGCCAGAGAGAAAGATCGGGTTACCCACAAAGGGAAGCCCAACAGACTAACAGCTGATCTCTTGGCAGGAACTCTACAAGCCAGAAGAGAGTGGGGGCCAATATTCAACATTCTTAAAGAAAAGAATTTTCAACACAGAATTTCATATCCAGCCAAACTAAGATTCATAAGTGAAGGAGAAACAAAATCCTTTACAGACAAGCAAATGCTGAGAGATTGTGTCACCACCAGGCCTGCCCTAAAAGAGCTCCTGAAGAAAGCACTAAACATGGAAAGGAACAACAGGTACCAGCCACTGCAAAAACATGCCAAATTGTAAAGACAATCAAGGCTAGGAAGAAACTGCATCAACTAACGAGCAAAATAACCAGCTAACATTATAATGACAGGATTGAATTCATACATAACAATATTAACCTTAAATGTAAATGGGCTAAATGCTCCATTTAAAAGACACAGACTGGCAAATTGGATAAAGAGTCAAGACCCATCAGTGTGCTGTATTCAGGAAACCCATCTCACATTCAGAGACACACATAGGCTCAAAATAAAGGAATGGAGGAAGATCTACCAAGCAAATGGAAAACAAAAAAAGGCAGGCATTGCAATCCTAGTCTCTGATAAAACAGACTTTAAACCAACAAAGATCAAAAGAGACAAAGAAGGCCATTACATAATGGTAAAGAGATCAATTCAACAAGAAGAGCTAACTATCCTAAATGTATATACACCCAATACAGGAGCACCCAGATTCATAAAGCAAGTCCTTAGAGACACACAAAGCGACTTAAACTCCCACACGATAATAATGAGAGACTTTAACACCACACTGTCAACATTAGACAGATCAACGAGACAGAAAGTTAACAAGGATATCCAGGAATTGAACTCAGCTCTGCATCAAGCGGACCTAATAGACATCTACAGAACTCTCCACCCCAAATCAACAGAATATACATTCTCAGCACCATACCGCACTTATTCCAAAATTGACCACATAGTTGAAAGTAAAGCACTCCTCAGCAAATGTAAAAGAACAGAAATTATAACAAACTATCTCTCAGACCACAGTGCAATGAAACTAGAACTCAGGATTAAGAAACTCACTCAAAACCTCTCAACTACATGGAAATTGAACAACCTGCTCCTGAATGACTACTAGGTACATAACGAAATGAAGGCAGAAACAAAGATGTTCTTTGAAACCAACGAGAACAAAGACACAACATACCAGAATTTCTGGGACACATTCAAAGCAGTGTGTAGAGGGAAATTTATAGCACTAAATGCCCACAAGAGAAAGCAGGAAAGATCTAAAATTGACACCCTAACATCACAATTAAAAGAACTAGAGAAGCAAGGGAAAACACATTCAAAAGCTAGCAGAAGGCAAGAAATAACTAAGATCAGAGCAGAACCGAAGGAAATAGAGACACAAAAAACCCTTCAAAAAAATCAATGAATCCAGGAGCTGGTTTTTTGAAAAGATCAACAAAATTGATAGACTGCTAGCAAGACTAATAAAGAAGAAAAGAGAGAAGAATCAAATAGATGCAATAAAAAATGACAAAGGGGATATCACCACCGATCCCACAGAAATACAAACTACCATCAGAGAATACTATAAACACCTCTATGCAAATAAACTAGAAAATCTAGAAGAAATGGATAAACTCCTGGACACACACACCCTCCCAAGACTAAACCAGGAAGAAGTTGAATCTCTGAATGGACCAATAACAGGCTCTGAAATTCAGGCAATAATTAATAGCTTACCAACCAAAAAAAGTCCAGGACCAGATGGATTCACAGCCGAATTCTACCAGAGGTACAAGGAGGAGCTGGTACCATTCCTTCTGAAACTATTCCAATCAATAGAAAAAGAGGGAGTCCTCTCTAACTCATTTTATGAAACCAGCATCATCCTGATACCAAAGCCTGGCAGAGACACAACAAAAAAAGAGAATTTTAGACCAATATCCCTGATGAACATTGATGCAAAAATCCTCAATAAAATACTGGCAAACCGAATCCAGCAGCACATCAAAAAGCTTATCCACCATGATCAAGTGGGCTTCATCCCTGGGATGCAAGGTTGGTTCAACATACGAAAATCAATAAATGTAATCCAGCATATAAACAGAACCAACGACAAAATCCATATGATTATTTCAATAGATGCAGAAAAGGCCTTTGACAAAATTCAACAACACTTCATGCTAAAAACTCTCAATAAATTAGGTATTGATGGGACGTATCTCAAAATAATAAGAGCTAACTATGATAAACCCACAACCAATATCATACTGAATGGGCAAAAACTGGAAGCATTCCCTTTGAAAACTGGTACAAGACAGCGATGCCCTCTCTCACCACTCCTATTCAACATAGTGTTGGAAGTTCTGGCCAGGGCAATCAGGCAGGAGAAGGAAATAAAGGGTACTCAATTAGGAAAAGAGGAAGTCAGATTGTCCCTGTTTGCAGATGACATGATTGTATATCTAGAAAACCCCATTGTCTCAGCCCAAAATCTCCTTAAGCTGATAGGCAACTTCAGCAAAGTCTCAGGATACAAAATCAATGTGCAAAAATCACAAGCATTCTTATACACCAATAACAGACAAACAGAGACAAATCATGAGTGAACTCCCATTCACAGTTGCTTCAAAGAGAATATAATACCTAGGAATCCAACTTACAAAGGACATGAAGGACCTCTTCAAGAAGAACTACAAACCACTGCTCAGTGAAATAAAAGAGGATACAAACAAGTGGAAGAACATTCCATGCTCATGGGTAGGAAGAATCAATATCGTGAAAATGGCCATACTGCCCAAGGTAATTTATAGATTCAAGGCCATCCCCATCAAGCTACCAATGACTTTCTTCACAGAATTGGAAAAAACTACTTTAAAGTTCATATGGAACCAAAAAAGGGCCTGCATTGCCAAGTCAATCCTAAGCCAAAAGAACAAAGCTGGAGGCATCATGCTACCTGACTTCAAATTATACTACAAGGCTACAGTAACCAAAACAGCATGGTACTGGTACCAAAACAGAGTTATAGACCAATGGAACAGAACAGAGCCCTCAGAAATAATACCACATATCTACAACCATCTGATCTTTGACAAACGTGACAACTACAAGAAATGGGGAAAGGATTCCCTATTTAATAAATGGTGCTGGGAAAACTGGCTAGCCATATGTAGAAAGCTGAAACTGGATGCCTTCCTTACACCTTATACAAAAATTAATTCAAGATGGATTAAAGACTTAAATGTTAGACCTGAAACCATAAAAACCCTAGAAGAAAACCTATGCAACACCATTGAGGACATAGGCATGGACAAGGACTTCATGTCTAAAACACCAAAAGCAATGGCAACAAAAGCCAAAATTGACAAATGGGATCTAATTAAACTAAAGAGCTTCTGCACAGCAAAAGAAACTACCATCAGTGTGAACAGGCAGCCTACAGAATGGGAGAAGATTTTTGCAATCTACTCATCTGACAAAGGGCTAATATCCAGAATCTACAATGAACTCAAATTTACAAGAAAAAAACAAACAACCCCATCAAAAAGTGGGCGAAGGATATGAACAGACACTTCTCAAAAGAAGACATTTATGCAGCCAAAAGACGCATGAAAAAATGCCCATCATCACTGGCCATCAGAGAAATGCAAATCAAAACCACAATGAGATACCATCTCACACCAGCTAGAATGGCGATCATTAAAAAGTCAGGAAACAACAGGTGCTGGAGAGGATGTGGAGAAATAGGAACACTTTTACACTGTTGTTGGGACTGCAAACTAGTTCAACCATTGTGGAAGTCAGTGTGGGGATTCCTCAGGGATCTAGAACTAGAAATACCATTTGACCCAGCCATCCCATTACTGGGTATATACCCAAAGGATTATAAATCATGCTGCTATAAGGACACATGCATACCTATGTTTATTGTGGCACTATTCACAATAGCAAAGACTTGGAACCAACCCAAATGTCCATCAATGATAAACTGGATTAAGAAAATGTGACACATATACACCATGGAATACTATGCAGCCATAAAAAAGGATGAGTTCATGTCCTTTGTAGGGACATGGATGAAGCTGGAAACCATCATTCTCAGCAAACTATCACAAGGACAAAAAACCAAACACCGCATGTTCTCACTCATAGGTGGGAATTGAACAATGAGAACACATGGACACAGGAAGGGGAACATCACACACCGGGGCCTGTTGTGGGGTGGGGGGAGGGGGGAGGGATAGCATTAGATGATATACCTAATGTTAAATGATGAGTTAATGGGTGCAGCACACCAGCATGGCACATGTATACATATGTAACTAACATGCATGTTGTGCACATGTACCTTAAAACTTAAAGTATAATAAAAAAAAATTTTTCCATAAAAAAAAGGAATCCAAATAAGACATGAGGCAAAAGAATTCAAAAGCCACATTGTATCCTAGGCTGAAATTCACTAACCTATTATATCTAGTATCTCATTTCCAGCTTTATTGGCCAATATAGCTCACCAAAGACTATATAAAAAAAAATCAAAGGGAAGAATAAAATAGAATCCCCAGTTGTAAATAACGGTGTTATTTCAAAACTCACCTAGTATTACTCCAGAAGCTTTCTACTTACCTATGCAGAATTCCCTTGCCATTCTTTAACTCTTTTCTGGCAAGCATTTAGTATTCAGGAATGAGAGACCTTTCATTAAAGAGGCTCTATCTGAAGCTCTAGGAGTGTGCCTATCAACAATTTAAATGACTAAAAGTTTCAACTGGTAGTCAATCTAGTTTGCCTGTGAACTCTTATCTCCTTTCTTAGATTTTTGGACTGTGGTAACATCTCTGAACTTGTAATTACTAAAGTAGTTAAATTATTTGATCCATGTTTAATATGATATGAGATTTCATATCATCCACTTACTCTCTATCTAGAATGCACTTTATGAGCACACGTCCTCTTTTAGGCAGGCGTCAGAATATTAACTTCGCCTTAGATATTCTTTTTCTTAAGGTCAGAAGTGATCTGATAAAGAAAACTTTAGGAAAAATATGTCTTCCTTGCTCTCCATGTAGGAGTTACTGACTTCTCTTTCTCTGAAGAATTCAGACTAACACAGATGTAAAGCCTGAATTTTCAGCCAGGCTTTGTGAATAGACCTTCTGGAAGGGCTACAGTGAATGGCTCAAGAGCTTCTTTCCAGGTTTAGTAGGCTAAGAGGCTGTGTCATTTAATTGTAGGAGGGAATAAAGGGAAAAAGTAGAAAAGAAAGGTAATAAAAAAGATGAAAAGATAAACTTGAAAGGGAGAAATTAATATTAATAGTGTTACTCTGTAGGCCATAGACAGCAGCTCTAAAATTATTAGTTGTAATAGGTTATAAACTGGAAAATAAACACTTAATAAATTTTAAAAGTGATCTCATGCTCCAATTAGAGAAATTGACATCAGTCTTGCATAATACAATTTGATAATGTAGTTAATCATGAGCCAAACCTTTTGAAGACTAATCAATTTAAGCTACGATCTTCATTTCCAAAGATAAAAGATGACAGAATAGAAGGTTACCATACTTACAAAGATTCCTTGGTGAAAATTGTAAATACACTTTATTAATAAATGAAAAAGTTATTTTCTGAAATACTGTAGAAATCATTCAAATCCAAATTCAACAACTGAAGCTGACAGAGAGAAGTGCACAATTAATCTCATACTTGAGATACATTGTCTTACATGTCACTGAACCTTGACATTCCAGCATCAATGTTTGCTCCATGTTCTTTCTATAGTAAAGGTGTGCATCCTCATCTGCTTGTACACAGACATGCCTATAATATTGACAACTTTTTAATTACAAATACCTAAGTATAACTAATATGATGTTGAGAATCGATGTCAAAATAAAATTACAATACATGTAGTTGCTAATCTTATCCATTCCTTAGATTATTGTGTATAATTATTTTGGTTGCCTGTCCAAAAATAAGTTTATTCTTAAAACCTTTGTTTTGACACTTGACAAGGAATTTTTCTTCACACATTCACATTACAAATTAATCAGGCTTGAGTGAAAGAACTTGCAATTATGAGGACAGATATGATTTGTTTCTCATCTCAACATTCATAATAAGTAGTTAACTGTACAAGTTAATCATTGGTCAGAATCATTGAAGGGTACCCGGTACAAATATTGCTGGAAATTAAGGGACCTAAATTATAGCTTACAGTCACAGATATTGAAAATATACAAATGCCATAGACAGAAGCTCTAAGTGGGTTTTTAAATATTCAATAGAGTGGAATTCATGTTTTAGTGCATTCCAGTCATCTAAAATAATCACAGTGCTCTACCTGAAAACACTTTTTGGACATATTCATAGTTTGCTGGAGGGATGCATAGCTTTCCTCTATAGATTAATAGAAGACAAGTCTATACTCTGAAGGTGGTAAATTATCTCAGCAGGAAATTCCTGAAAAATACAGAATCAAGTACATCAAAGCATTATATAAAAACTAAAACTTAGAAGTGGGCTATCAAAGATGATTTTTTCACTATTTAAATTAAAGGATTGGGTAAAATGAAGAATTCTGCAAGTACAATTAATTTATTCCTCAAGCAAGTGAATGGAATACATTAAATGTGGGAAAGTACAGTAAATCTGGGAGAGCCAGAAATTGTTCTAAATCAAGGCTCTAGTTTGGATGCAGATACACACACATGATTCAAAGTTTGATATCAGAAGTATACAAACCTATCTACTTGCAGATCAAATATTAATCATGTACTAGATCTTTTTCCCATTCAGACAGGAAATTCAGAAGATGATTCTCACAGGTGGAGAAGTTTATCTAACAATTAAGTCATCCTGTAATCAATAGTCAATAAATGTCCCTCAGGTTTCTGATATTGGTATATCTGAAGAGCTGAACTAATTTTGTACTATCTTGCTCTGCGTTATCAGATTCTTTGAAGATTCTGACTTCCTTTCCAAACAGTTTACATAATATTTCCAAGATTTGTAACTTACTGTATACACTTTATCGTATTTCAGCTGACCACTGTCCTTTGAACTACATGCTTATTTTTGGTCTAAAACTCTTTAGTTGGGTCTTTTTCTATGTATCTATATTGTCCTATCATTTCTGGTTCCTCCTAGGCATTGATTATTCTCGGATCTACCTGTTTCTCCTTCTTCTGTAGATAATGTTGGCTGTCAAGGTTGTAATTCTATACCTTCTGTCAATTATTCTTTGCCTCCTGTGCTCCTAGGTCAATTGTCAGAAAAGGGTTGTGATGATCAATCCTGCCATCAAGGAGAAGCTGAAATATCCATCGATACAAAGTGTTAGGTCAAGGACACACAGGATAGATAAGACTTTAAAGGAATGCTCATCCATCATTCATAAAGCTGGTAAAGCACTAGGAAAGTCAAAGCAATGAAATGTCAGAGCGCGTTGCTAAGGAATGCAAACCTAACTCATGGATGTCAATTGGCTTCAGCCAGGAAATTCCCAGTACACATCTACTTGAAGCAAGATACTCTTTCAGGCCTCTGGCAAGTGAAAATATTAATCACTATAAATTTAGGCTCTCTGGGCTCTACTCATTCTTTAATTTAATATGAAGGCCATCAAACTAAGTAAATAGTTGTGGTAAATTCGGACAAGTATGATCAAACGACTGAATGGGAAAAATTGTTTTTTGACTGGGCAATTAATTCAAGATACATAAAGAGTTTGCGAGTGTAGTTCGTGAGTGCATTAAAAGACCTATTGCTTGAACAAAGAGGACATTGACCACAAAAGCAGCTGCCCTCCCCTGCTTACCGGGGTCCCTGTACCTTGAATAACCATCCTTTTGCATTCTCCACAGTAACTACTCCAGTCTTTCTTCAATCTCAATCACTCGTGTTTGTCTAACATTTGTCAGATGCCTTCAATTCCAACTACCTGGAGACACACAGAGTATCAGAAGGAAATACCCTCCTTTGGTCCCCATCCACCACTGAGGCACAAGAGAGCACCTCTGCCTTCTTCCTCCTGGAGGAAGAGATGTAGCTCGTTACCTCAGGGCTTTTGATCACAGACTGGTGCATCGTCAGTCTCTCTTTTTCTCCTGCCTGTTTCCTTTAAGCCTACAAACATGCCCAGATTTTTACAACTCAATATAAACAGTCTAGGTTAATTGTGACTAATTTATGATCACATTATCATTCTAGAATATGGTGAGGTACATAATGAAAGCATTGCCATCCACATCAAGTATCTAAAATCAAAACCAGGTTTTACCACTCACTGGTTGTTTGGCTTTGATCAATATACCCCCAATAAGCTTCAATTTCACTACCTATATAAACAAGGGCAATAATTATCCATTTCATAAAGTAGATTTATTACTTGTAAAGCATCTAATATTGTGTCCCAAACATGCAAACACACACCATCCTCCTTAACCCAAATAACATTCAACTTGAAACGAAAACAGAATTGTGGCTACATTAAAAATCATAACATAGTATGCATTCTCTCTCTCTCTCTTTCTCTCTCTCTCTCTCTCTGTGTGTGTGTGTGTGTGTGTGTGTGTGTCTTTTTCTTTGAAGAAAAATGAAACATGATGAAGTTAAGTGACTTGACCTGTTTATCAATTAGGAATAGGTTCACCAGCTAAAAGGAGCTTGAAAAATATTGTTTTAAACAAAATAGAATCTTCTATTACTAAAATAAATTCCCAAGTAGGCAGTCCATAGCTTTAGAAATTTCTTGGGCTCAGGTTACTTCTATTTTGCTGCTCTGATACATTTGTTTTTGCCAACTCATGATCCAAGATAGGACCAGTTGGCTTTCCCCATACAATGTTTTCTTTCCAATGAACAAGGAGAAAGAAGGAGCAAAGAAGAGCCAAGAATTCCCTCCAAGGAGGTTTCAGAAGCTTCCACCCAAGACTTATGCTTACATTTTATTGGACAGCATTTAGATCATAACCTTGGTTACCTGCAAACTAGACTTAATAATATAATCTTTATTCCAGGCTTTCATATGCATGTTAAAAATTCAGAATGAGACTACCAAGAAAGAAGGGGATGGCAGAGATTAGGATAAGTAGGTAGAAATCTGTACTACAGTCAGTATGACACGTGAATTATTTTAAATTATTCTTTTAAAGATTGCTTTGGAAGTTCTAATTTATTTCTTTATGACCCTAAGTAACTACTTAGAAATACATGCAGTGTTAATGTTTTGAGTTTTGACATTTGTGATATCTTAATTATTTTAGTTTACTTTTAAACTGTTATGTTTCCATTTTTTATAGAGATTCCAAAGAAAACTGAGAAGAAATAGCCCTACATATTACACTAAATGTTCATATGTATTTGGGTTTTTCCCCTGGATGTTTTCTTCTATTTTACTACTTGTATTCTTTCCTAATACCACATCACTGTAAATAGTGAGGCTTTATAATACGCTTTAAAATAGGTTAGATCAGCACTCTCATTTCCTTCATCTTTGGAGTTTTTCTGACTATTCTTCCTCACTTATTTTTCCAGACAAAATGTAAAATCTGCTTGAAAAAAAATAGTGCTCTAAAAAATCCCATTGGTATACTTATGGAGATTATATTACATTTTACTTACTCCTGGGAGTGGTAATATTTTGATGATGTCTCCCTATCCAAAAGCTTGCTGTAATTTTCAATTCATTTTTATATTCTGCTTAGGTTTATTCCTCAATATTTTAACTTTTATGTTAGTATTATAAGCATAATTCTATTCTATCTTAATATTTCCTAATAGGTCATTAATGTTATGTAGGGGAAGTGTTCATTTCTCCGTATTGATTTAGTCTAAATAATTTACCTGTATTTTCTTTGTTGGTGTGATAGTTTTAATTTGTTTTTCTTGGATATCCCAGGCATACAACCATATCAGTTATTAATAATGATAATCTAACCTCTTCCTTCCAGTTTTATTCCAATGTTTTATCTCATGTAATTTAACTGGTTAGTATCGCTAAATCAATGCTAAACTAAAGAACAGATAACTCTTCATATAATTCTGATTTAAATATACTTCTAAATTAACAGAAAATTTATTCTCTTGGTTCAAAGTATAACAGCATTATCTAACCTTTTCTTTTAGATTGAGATATCTGAGAAATTGAATTCATATATAGGAGGTTGTTGGGTAAACACTGTGACACACTCAAAACATTAGAATTCCCTTGACAGATATTTCATGTGGAACATGTCACAAGCTCAGCAGTTTTGCTAGTCACCTATGAAACATAGATTTTTTTAGTAAGGATATTAGTGCTTTCAGGATATATTACACATTAGTGAGGAAACTGGTTTAGTTGTTTGTAAGAGGGATTCAAAATAACAATGTTCTAAATAAGATAGAAGATTTTTTCTCCCTCAGATAAAACTCATATGTAGAAAATCAGCCATCACTCTTGGCTCCATAACCTTCTGGGAGCCATGCAACCTCCAGCTGTCCTCTCTGCCAGTCCCAAAATGATGGCCTTTTCATTAGGGTAAAGAGAGAGTTTCAGTCATCACACCCACAGTCTAAGTAAGACATCACTCTGATAGGCTGCCTTTGTCCAGTATAAGTAGGAACCAATCATTGTTTTAATATTACTTATATTCCTAAAGAATCTTCTGTCACTACACCAATTGTCTCATTTTCTTTTTCTTTGTATCAGAACTGTTTTATTTATTTTTTTATTATACTTTAATTTCTAGGGTACATGTGCACAATGTGCAGGCTTGTTACATAGGTATACATGTGCCATGTTGGTTTGCTGCACCCATCAACTCGTCATTTACATTAGGTATTTCTCCTATGCTATCCCTGCCTCATACCCCCCACGCCCCGACAGGTCCTGGTGTGTGATGTTCCCCGCCCTGTGTCCGTGCATTCTCATTGTTCAACTCTTGCCTATGAGGGAGAACGTCCAGTGTTTGGTTTTCTGTCTTCGGGATAGATTGCTCAGAATGATGGTTTCCAGCTTCATCCACGTCCCTGCAAAGGACATGAACTTATCCTTCTTTATGGCCGCATAGTATTCCATGGTGTATATGTGCCACATTTTCCTAATTGATGAACACTTGGGTTGGTTCCAAGTCTTTGCTAATGTGAATTGTGCTGCAATAAACATACATGTGCATGTGTCTTTATAGTAGCATTATTTATAATCCTTTGGGTATATACTGAGTAATGGGATCACTGGGTCACAAGACAGACCTATTAAAACATTCCAGGGACATAAGAATGAAGTAAATGCTATCAAATGGGACCCAACTGGCAATCTCCTGGCCTCTTGTTCTGATGACATGACTTTAAAGATATGGAGTATGAAACAAGACAATTGTGTCCATGATTTGCAAGCACATAATAAAGAAATTTATCCTATCAAATGGAGTCCAACAGGACTTCATCCACATCCCTGCAAAGGACATGAATTTATCCTTGTCCTGCTTTATTAGGAGGGATTTCAATATCTCCATCCACTTCCATCGTATCAGTATGATTATTTGCTATAATATGTGCTCCATTCTCCTCCCCATTTGCTGTGTTTTCTGCATTTTTTTTTTTTTTTTTTTTTTTTTTTTTTTTTGCAGATCCTTGTTGGTTGGCTGTGGCAGCTGCTGCCTGTTGCTGTTTAAGCTTATCGCTATAAGCTTGTTGTCTTGTTTGTACTACATCAGGCATTAAGGCGTCTATCAGGGACAGACTCATTGGTCGACCATCAAAGAAAGTACCATCCTCATTAATACTAACTTCTGCTTCTACATACTGTAGACCTTTCTGGATGATAGAAATCAATGCAGCAGGTGGGACGAGGGCACCATTTATATTGGACTGACTGATACGGCTTTCTATACCGAAGGTAAATGCTGAATGAGAAGCCTGTGTACAGTGTAGCTTTCAGTCCTGATGGCCGGTATCTGGCCAGCAATTCTTTTGACAAATGTGTACACATCTGGAACACACAGACAGGTGCTCTAGTTCACACTGTAGGGGAACAGATGGAATTTTTGAAGTTTGCTGGAATGCCGCAGGAGACAAAGTTGGAGCCAGTGCATCAGATGGTTCAGTTTGTGTATTAGACTTTCGGAAATAGCGCTACTAGTTGGAAGCCATGGACCAACTATGAATGTGTACATAGCCAAAATGACTGTCCCTGACCCACGTACTGCTATAGTCCCACTTGAACCATGGCCAGTCGACTACAGCCAAATCTAAAAGAAATATAGGCTGGGCGCAGAGGCTCATGCTTGTAATCCCAGCACTTTGGGAGACAGAGGCAGACGGATCAAGGGTCAGGAGTTCGAGACAAGCCTGGCCAATATGGTGAAACCCTGTCTCTTCTAAAAATACAAAAATTAGCCGGGCATGGTGGTGCGTGCCTGTAGTCCCAGCTACTCGGGAGGCTGAGACAGGAGAATCGCTTGAACCTGGGAGGCGGAGGTTGCAGTGAGCAGAGATTGTGCCACTGCACTCCAGACTAGGCAACAGAGCGAGACTCCTTCTCAAAAAAAAAAAAGAAAAGAAAAGAAAAACAGAAAGAAATATATACATACAATGTATATAAACAAAATTGCACCCTGAAGATGACAGTTTTGTCACAGCTTGTGAATTCTGTTCACCAAGTGCTGGAATCTAATCTACTGTGCCCCTAAAATAGCATTTAGAAGTTTTGGATATGAAAAACAGAAGAGAGAAAAATACACATTATAAAAGCAGAACATACATGTACCAGTTTTTGGATACCACCTGACAGCCTCGTTTCTCCCCTTTGAATCCGCAGACACCAAGGATTATATTCTTTTTTCCCTTCAGTAGTGAGCAGTTTGTATGTACAGAGAAAATGGACACAAAAACTTGCAGTGGTAGTTTGTTCTTGCTTTAAAATTTTGTTTTTGGTTTAGATTATGGGTGCATGAAGTAAGGGAATGAATCAGTTTCTTGTTTATATTTTTTCAGCTTTTAAACAACAAAAAATTCTTTAAAATATTTTAATGCATTCTTTTGAAGAGGTAGATGTTTGGTACATTTTATGGCTCCCAGAGCACATATTCAATTGGTGCATGTTGTGGAAGGGAGAATTGGAAATTAAATGAAAACATGACTTTGGTCATGTCAGTCTGTAAGACACATCCATAAAAGGTGTATTATGTTCTGTTGGTTTTGGTTCTTTGTTTGTTTGTTTTTTCTTTTTAGGCGATGTGGCATAAATGCAATAGTTTCTTTTGGGGGACATATTTCTACCAATTAAAGACTAGAAGGGCACAAAATGTTGTTGTTGTTGTTTTAATTACCATAGAGAAAATACCTTTTTAAAAAATTGGCTGGATGCAGTGGCTCACACCTATAATCCCAGCACTTTGGGAGGCCAAGGCGGGTGAATCACCTGAGGTCAGGAGTTCTTGACCAGCCTGGCCAAGATGGTGAAACACCATCTCTACCAAAAATACAAAAATTAGCCAGGCGCAGTGGCGGGCGCCTGTAATCCCAGCTACTCAGGAGGCTGAGGCAGGAGAATCGCTTGAACCCGGGAGGCGGAGGTTGCAGTGAGCAGAGATCGCGCCACTGCACTCCAGCCTGGGTGACAGAGCGAGACGCCAACTCAAAAAAAAAAAAAAAAAAAAAAAAAAAAAAAAAAAAACCACTTCTGATGTTTTGTAGCCATAAATAAATTATGGTAAAAATGTGCACTATTGTGAAAAGGAGCAAAGTAGTTTTGGGTTTTTTGTTGTTTGTTTGTTTGTTTGTTTGTTTTGCTTTTTTTTTGAGAGATTGAAATGTTTCTGGGTAAGGATTCGCTTCTCGAATTGTCTATCATTCTGTGTAGAAGCTTAAATATGTAATGTAACCAAACTCCACTATTAGAAATCTCTCATGTTGTTTTCTTTATACAAAGCAAGATAACGGCATATAACACTTCCATTACATGGCAAAATGTTTGCTACCTTAGTTTAAAAAACAATCTCTAAAACAAAAGACTTGCTTCAAGGTGTTTTTAAATAGCAGTGATTGCGATTTTTTTTTTTATGAAAGTATAATTGCACTAACCTTCTGCCTGCTGCTCTGATTCTGCACTTGTGATACTTGTGACTACATTTTTTCAAATATAGATAGATTTAAGCAGCTAATTTTTGTTTCAGTATCACTACTTTATCATGTCTTTTACTCTGTTTATAATATCAAGTATTTTCTTAAAGACATAGACATTAAATTAAACCTCTTGTTCTCATGCAACTAAGAGTAACATATACAGACAAACGATTGCATGAGGCCATGTTTATAAGTGTGACTAATAAGGCTTGTCATGATTAGTATAATCCAGGTATGTCATCTCTAAAGAGAAAGGTCATCAAATTTATATCTCAAAGATTTTAATCAAGGAATTCCTTATTGTTGAGCTTGGCAAATTAATAACACTATTTCTGTCATGAATTATTTTGAGGCCTTTTAGTACTAAAGTTTAAGTAGAAACTGGCTTAACCCAAGGAATGCAACTTTGATTTTCAGCAATTGTTGCTTTGCTATTTTTACAAAACAGCATTGATTGAAGCAACTCTTGGTTTTACCAAGGTAGGGTAGCATTTGCTATTGGTAGAGATTATAAATACACTTAATTTCACAATACATTGTTATATGTATCCCAGTTGTTGTTAGTGGGGACTATGATACCGTAATAATATTTTTAAAAATTTACATACAGGCCTGGCGCGGTGGCTCATGCCTGTAATCCCAGCACTTTGGGAGGCCAAGGTGGGCAGATCACGAGGTCAGGTGTTGGAGACCAGCCTGGCCAACATAGTGAAACCCCGTCTCTACTAAAAATACAAAAATTAGCCGGGTGAGGTGGCATGCGCCTGTAGTCCCAGCTACTCAGGAAGCTGAGGCAGGAGAATCGCTTGAACCCAGGAGGCGGAGGTTGCAGTGAGCCGAGACCACACCATTGCACTCCAGCCTGGATGACAGAGTGAGACTCCATCTCAAAAAAAAAAAAAAATTTGCATCAGTAGAGGCAGTCATTCACGATGGTTTTGTGCCAGCTCTTTTTAGGGTTTTGAATCACATTAGAGATATTTAGAACTTCTTAACCTGTGACTTCTGTAGGAAACCTAATATGCTGAATATCTGGCACTTGAATTCCTGCTTTTATTGCTAGAGGTCCACATCTGTGGTTGATCTCTGTTATTGTTTAAAAATTAAAATTAAAATTAAAAAAAATCTGTGCAAGAATTTTGAAATGTGGTCCCAGCAATAGACCCAAATGTTTTGAGTATCTTTTAAGTTGCATTTTCCTTTAGCAATGCATTTGTCAATTGCACTGAATTTAAACCTGAAAGTCAGAGGTGATTATTGACAGTACTTTTGTATTTTTATATGGACAATTTATTCGTTTGCATTCAGTTATTGACTTTTCCCCAGCTGATCAAAAGATAGTCAAGAAATTCTGCAATATAGCTGCCAAAAGAGACAGCTACATTTTTATTATATTGTCATCTTTTTTTTTTTTCCTGTAGCTATTTTACTTAAGCATAGTAGCCACAATAGGACATACAAAAGGACATATAAAAGACTATAAATACAGAGCTTTATCATCCTGACGTCTTGGGTCTTTTAAGTATACGCTTTTCTGAAAGGCATCCATCTGGTAGGCTTGGGTTCTTCATGAGCATACGATTGTTTATTTTTGCTGCTGTTCTCAACCTCATCATTGCCTGTTGATGTGCCAAGATGCTGCTCCAATAGATAGAAATAAGATTGTCTCTAATTTGAGCAGTAACACGATTGCAAGAGATGAAGTTTCACACCTTGTAAATTTCTGTATTTGGGATTCTCGCTCATTTTTCCACCTGTGTTTTTCTGAGAACTTATTTCTGATGATCAATTGAATCCAGTAGTTTTTGTTTGCTATTCATTGTTGTATAAGCTACTGTAAGAAACTTACAAGGAAAAATAGAAGGGAAAACTTGAATGAATACTAATTGATTAAAATGAAATAAAGAAAGAGTAGCTGCTACTTTTAAACAACATAAAGGAATATCTTTTTTCGCCTTCATGTAGGAAATCCCATAAGTTCTTATATTTGTTCCAATCCCTATTTCCTGCCATTGACCAGGTAACATCATTGACTTTCAAAAGACTTTTAAACTGGTAACTCTTAACTTCCTAATAGATATTAGAGTGTATTGAATTGTTTTAATTATTCTCTAGGTAAGTATGTTTTAGGATTAAATACCTTTTACAGATACTGAAAGTGACTCCTCTTGTGGTGTAAAAAACAAATTATGGTGCAAAAAGTAATCACTAGATTGAATTACCTGAAGGTATTTTTGCTTTTTGACATATGAAAATGTCAAGAGAAAGGCCAAAGATCTGTAGTTTTTCACTTATAAAACACTCCTTTTTTCCTTAAACTTCTTTCTGTCAAATTAGATTTAATGAGAGAGTACTCTTTTTAAGGAGCTATCAGTTTATGTAGAATGATTTTGTTAAGAGTAATGTAAACTATTATTGAGTAGAGGCCTAAAGGGCACTGTGCATTTTTGCTATTTAAAGGAATCACAAATGACCATAATTAAGTGAGCAAAAATGACAAGTTTTACTAGATAAGTAGACAAATAAATCTCAAATGCAGTGCTACAATTTTCATTATCTTCAGCACATTGTACATTTCTACAGAACCTGTTATTATTCTCACATGCTAAGGATGGTACTTGCATATGGTGAATTACTGTTGACAGTTTCCGCAGAAATCCTATTTCAGTGGACCAACATTGTGGCATGGCAGCAAATGCCAACATTTTGTGGCATAGCAGCAAATCTACAAGACACCCTGGTTAGTTTTTTGTTTTGTTTTCTTTGTTTTTTCCCCCTTCTCCTGAATCAGCAGGGATGGAAGGAGGGTAGGCAAGTTATGAATTACTGCTTCTAGTAGTAGCTCTGAAGTGTCACATTTAATATCAATTTTTTAAAACATGATTCTAGTTAA